>NT_167247.2:3653694-3893709 GCF_000001405.40 Homo sapiens | reverse complement strand
GGCCACTGCTGCCACAGTCGTTCCTGCCACCACTGCTTGCAACTTCCCACTGCAACTAGCCACTCTGGAGAGCTCGCCACTGCCATCATCACCACCCTTTTATCCTAAAATGCTAAGGTGAACCTTAGATGGCTTTCCTAGATTGTCATCATCACAATTAGTTTATTTTTTTCACAAATTCTTTCTTCTTTTCTTTTTTCTTCCTTTGTGTTTTTTGTTTTTGTTTTTGTTTGTTTTTGACGGGATCTTCCTCTTGTCGATGATGATGAGGGGATTCTTTTGAAGGAACCAGAATTGCTACATAGTGGCTTTCTCAAATTATGTAATGATACCATTCATTAAAAGAAGTAGTCTTATTGCTATGCACACCCATAAATTATAGGGATATAAATAATTTTAATACAAGGAACATTATTCTCAGAAATAGAATGTGAAGGAGTATGATATAGTGGCTGAGCTTGAGGGGTAGATAATTTGGCTCACTCCATAGTGTACCTTTTACTAGCTTTGTACCTTTGGAAAAGTTGTTTTACCTCCATCTCTTTATTCTCTCCACCTGTAAGCATGAAAAGGGTGTTTATTTTACTGAGCTGATGTGAGAATGAAATAAACATATGAAGTATAGAAAGCCCTTAGTACAATTCTGAGTACAAAGTAAAATGCTTATTTCTGCTGCAGCATGGTGAGAATCCTGCCCCTGGAAACACTAAGGCACATAAGGAAGGAGTGCCTATCAGAACTGTGGTAGAGTGTGAATTAATGCAGAACTTTACATGTATAGTTGTACTATGAAGTCCATTCTGAATCTCAGATTTCACATTTATATTAATATAAAGCATAATAATTATCTAAATGTAGAATTATATGTTTAAAATTACATGAGTACATCAACTGATATAATTCATAGTTTTTCCCTAGGACTCTCTTTCCTGAACATTCTATAACGTATTAGTTAGCACAGTCTTCTTATATCTTCCCTTACGATAAAACAAGAGAAGCACAGTAGTAAAGGGCCATAGCCTCAGTCAAATGAGGAAATCCTAATGGGTACCAGGAATGAGGGATTAAACACTCTTCATGTAAAATATTAATTATTTTAAAACAGAGTTGTTCTGTCAACAGCTCACGTTGAGTCTTTGATCGATCTCTCAGCCCCCTGAATACTTGGATTGCACAGTTGACCTTATCACATTTTTAGGGTAAGTGCTGGACAAAGGCACCTTCAGAGCCTCCATTGCACATAGGTGGCCCCTGCAAGCCCCTTGCCTGTGTGTGTTCTGGAGCTGCCACTAAACTTGAGGGCAGCATCAGGAGACACACTTGAAAACAACCTTTTACTCAGATTAAATTATTAACTTTCCATTTCCTTTAACTTATTAAAGACATCCCCACCTGTAAACAGGTGCAGATTAAGCTCTCTAGTCAACAGCTGTCATTCTGTCATATCATCAGATACCCGGGGCTGCTGCTTCTTGAGGCATCCACAGAATCACAGCATTTTCCAGTATTGAAAGACCTAAAAGATCACGGTGCCTTCATTTCAACTGTGAGACATGAAATAATTTTCCCAAATCTACGACATTAAGATATGGTGCAATAAGGACCAGATTAAAGGTCTGCACATTTGCAACCATGTTCCCTCCATCTCATTTACTCCTAAACACGGTCACTGCTGCAAATACTTCTCTTGTCAAGTGGGAAATGAATGCTCTTACAAGGCTCAAACTTGTGAACACATCACTGACCAGCTCAGAGCTGGCTCACAATAGGGACCCAATTAAAATGTTTTACATGCAACTGGATCAAACCTTTTGAGTACTAAATTAAAACAATCCTTTAAAGAAGACAATTGTTTCAGAGGAGGACCTTCATACAGCATCTCTGACCAGCAACTGATGATGCTAGTGAACTCAGGTGCTGACTGGTTCTCCAACACGAGATTACCCAATCAAGGAGCAAGGAAATCAGTAACTTCCTTCCTATAATTTGGAATGTGGGTGGAGGGGGGCCATAGTTCTCCCTGATTGAGACTTGCCTGCTGCTGTGACCACTGGTCTTGTCCTCTTCTCCAGCATGGTGTGTCTGAAGCTCCCTGGAGGCTCCTGTATGGCAGCGCTGACAGTGACATTGACGGTGCTGAGCTCCCCACTGGCTTTGGCTGGGGACACCCAACGTAAGTGCACATTGTGACTGCAGAGCTACTATGGGGTGGGGGCAAAAATAGGAAGTTTTGTTAACATTGTGCCCAGGCTATGTCTCTTATGAAATTGTGACACTTTCTTCAGAGATTGCCCATCTTTATCAGATGGATCCCAAATTATTTCCACCACAAAAGGCGCTTGGCTACTTGTCCTGTCCATGAGATTTGTGTAAAGGGCCTACACACAGGTCATTTCTTCTCAAATCTCCACCAATAAAACCTATGCATCACATGTCCTCAGGGTCTTTAGAGGATTTAGAAATAAGTATGCTAAAATAATTTCCCCATACAGCACTTCCCTTTATTATGTTGACTTATGTCAGACAAAAGGAGGTTTTTACTGAAAATTTTGTGGGAGTCAAGGGAATTCAAAGGGTCTCTCCTAGACGATCCAGTGTTATGTCCTCCACAGGACCTTTGGTGTTGGCCCCTCTTCCTCATATGTGAGGATGGATCCAGTGGCCTCCCCATTATCTCCTTTCTTTTCTTTCTGAACTCCAATGTTTATAAAGCCTGTACCCCTGTTGCCTATGTAGGTTCTCTGACAAAAGTTATACTTAGTGCTCTTTCTTTCTTATGGGGAAAAATCCGTGGAACTGAAGCTGAGATCTTTAGTACGTGGAGTCACCTTACAGATATAGAGCATTTATGCGGTATTCATTGGTGCCTAAAGAACTTTAGGCATCCTCTGGAAAACCGGCCCAGGTTAGTGTTTATTATGAATCTTTTTTAACCGTTCTATACTTGTTTCTCCTACATCTCTTACGTGCTCTAACTAGACATGACAGAAGAGATTTAACTAATGTAGTATAAATTGTATGAAATTCTATTTTTGTAAGTCAAAAATAATCAAATATCAGAAATTTAATAATGTTCAAACTATATACTCTGTGTGGGGTTTTTGAGACAATGTGGACATTGTTCATGTCTCATAAGGCTGAAAGTCAATGAGCAAGTCCTGGAAACTCATTGTCTTACTGGGGTCTTGTCCTAAATTTCATAGGTTCACCCATCATGCCCTCAGCTTTCCTTAATTAGCCATGTCTGCTTACCTCTTCCTCCACTTTCTCTCTTTTCCCCAGCTATGTTGTCATCATTTCCAAAAATCTCTAAAGCTTGCACAGATCCTTAGCACTATGAGATCCATTGAAAGACATAATTTTTTTCTTTTTGAGATAGGGCCTAGCTCTGTCACCCAGGCTGTAGCTCAGTGGTGTGATCGAGGCTCACTGCAACCACTGCCTCCCATGCTCAAGCGATCTTCCCTCCTCAAGCTCCGGAATAGCTGGGAATAGAGGCAGGCAACCACGCCCAGCTAATTTTTTAATTTTGGTAGAGATGAGATTTTGCCATGTTGCCCAGGCTGGTCTTAAACTGCTGGACTCAAGCAATCCTCCTGCCTTGGCCTCCCATCGTGCTAGGATTATAGATGTGAGCCACTGTGCCCAGGCAAAAAGAAATGACTCTTAATAAAAAAATTTCCTTTTTCTTAAATCACTGTTTCTTTATCTGTGAATTCTTCTTCCAAGTAGAAGGAGGAGAAAGAAGAAGTTTGCCTGTATTTCTCACCGGGAGGAGAAGGGGTCTAGTGTGACATCAAAATGAAAGGGTGCTGGAGCTTGAGCCCCTTCTTGCTTTCCGGGATCCCCACAGTGATCAGTTCTCATACCCTGGTTTATTCGTGTAAACCACACTTATTTTTCTCAGCAGCTACTGTGTACTGGGCTCCATTCTAGGTTCAAATCATTCTATTTGAGTAAGATAGAGAGGGTCCCGACTCTCAAGGAAATTACACAACAATAGAGGAGACAGACACTAACCCAATAAGCATTTAACAAAAAAGAAAATGTTAGAGAGTCATAGTGCACTGAAGAAAAGACAACAGGTTTGTCGGAAAGATAGAAATGGATTCACCTACTTTAGTTCATATGTTTAGGGAGCCCTACCTGAGAAAGTGACATTCAGCTGAGACAACAAAGTAAGTAGACAGTTGTGAAGATCTAATGGACAAAAGTTCCAGGGAGACTGAATCGAGGGAAAGCCCTGGTGTGGGAAATTATGTGGAGGGAGAGAAAGAAGGCTAGAGGGGCTGATGTATAGGAAGCAAGGAAATAGGGGGGCAGAAGATGAGGTAGAACACAGAGAGGAAGTCAGGAGCCTCCTCATATTAGGCTCTGAAATCCACGGTAAAAAATTTGAATTTCATTTATTTATTTATTTTGAGACAGAGTTTCATTCTTGTGGCCCAGACTGGAGTGCAATGGCACAATCTCGGCTCACTGCAACCTCCGCCTCCTGGGTTCAAGTGATTCTCCTGCCTCAGCTTCCCAAGTAGCTGGGATTACAGGCACCCACCACCATACCTGGCTATTTTTTTGTATTTTTAGTGGAGATGGGGTATCACCATGTTGACCAGGCTGGTCTCGAACTCCTGACCTCAGATAATCTGTCTGCCTTGGCCTCCCAAAGTGCTGGGATTACAAGAGTGGGCCACTGTGCCCAGACTGAATTTTATTTAAATAGATATGAGAAACTACTGTACGGTTACACGGAGAGTCAATTTATATTCAATTTTGTGTGTGTGTGTTTGTGAGATCGAGTCTTGCTCTGTTGCCCAGGCTAGATTGCAGTGGCACAATCTCGGTTTACTGCAACCTCCGCCTCCCGGGTTCAAGCGATTCTATTGCCTCAGCCTCCCGAGTAACTGGGACCACAGGCGCATGCCACTACACCTGGCTAATTTTTTGTATTTTTAATAGGGATGAGGTTTCACCGTGTTAGCCAGGTTGGTCTCGATCTCCTGACCTCGTGATCTGCCCACCTTGGCCTCCCAAAGTGCTGGGATTACAGGCGTGAGCCACTGCACCCGGCCTATATTCAATTTTTAAAACTAACTCTAGCTACTCTGTAGGAATTGGATTGTTGGGGTTCAAAAGTGGTCAGGAAGACTATTTAGGAGCACAGCAGAGAATTATCCAGGGAAAACAGGCTTGTGGCTTCATGGAGTGCATTAGTGATAAAGAGAGTGAAAAAGATAAAGTGGACAGACTTGGCATGTATTTTTGCTTAGCTTGCTAATGAATTACTGTAAAGGGGTTAGAACAATCAAGCTTATTCCTAAGGATTTTGTTTTGACAAATAAGTGGGTGGTAGTGTTGTTTATTGAGATAGGAAAAACTATGGGAGGAAATGATTTGAAGTGGGTGGTTGGAAATAAAAGTTTTGTTTAAATTTGAGATGATTTATTGACATTTATGTGGAGCAATCAGAAGGTCAATGGCATTTAAGAGACTCATGGTGAGGTGAAGCTAGGGCTTCAGGTATTTATGTTGGCGGCATCAATAAGTGTAGTGTGTTAAATTCCAGGGAGTGTAAGATGATACATAGGGAGATGGATTGTGTGGAGAAAAAAGAAGAGGGTACAGGCCAGCAAAGGGGGCTGAGAAAGAGCCCAGGGAGGCTGGAGAAAACCCAAGATAACATAATGCGTGTAAGTGAAGAAAAACAGATTATTTTCAAGGAGAAGGGAGAGGCCAATTGTGGTGAGTACCACTAAGAGGAGAGGGAAGTGAGAACGTGACAGAGAAGCAAGTGCTGGGTTGCTGGTTTGCTGGAGTTGATATTTGCAGTCAATGGAGTATCCAGGGAGGAAACTGGATTGGACCATTTGAAGAGCAAGTAGAAGTGAGGACGAAGTTAAGATTGACTGTTTTGAGTAGAGAGCTTCAGGGAAGGACTGTGCTCTGGGTTCAGGGAGCCAGCTGATTCTAAAGGAAAAGGCTAAAGAAGCTGAAGAGCCAGCTTTCCCAGCACCATTTATTAAATAGGGAATCCTTTCCCCATTTCTGTTTTTTGTCAGATTTATCAAACATCAGATGGTTGTAGATGTGTGGTATTATTTCTGAGGGCTCTGTTCTGTTCCATTGGTCTATATCTCTGTTTTGGTACCAGTACCATGCTGTTTTGGTTACTGTAGGCTTGTAGTACAGTTTGAAGTCAGGCAGCATGATGCCTCCAGCTTTGTTCTTTTGGCTTAGGATTGTCTTGGCAATGCGGGCTCTTTTTTGGTTCCATATGAATTTTAAAGTAGTTTTTTGCAATTCTGTGAAGAAAGTCATTGGTAGCTTGATGTGGATGGCACTGAATCTATAAATTACCTTGGGCAGTATGGCCATTTTCACGATATTTATTCTTCTTATCCATGAGCATGGAATGTTCTTCCATTTGTTTGTGTCCTCTTTTATTTAGTTGAGCAGTGGTTTGTAGTTCTCCTTGAAGAGGCCCTTCACGTCCCTTGTAAGTTGGATTCCTAGGTATTCTATACTCTTTGAAGCAACTGTGAATGGGAGTTCACTCATGATTTGGCTCTCTGTTTGTCTGTTATTGGTGTATAAGAATGCTTGTGATTTTTTGCACATATGTAGAAAGCTAAAACTGGATCCTTTCTTTACACCTCATACAAAAATTAATTCAAGATGGATTAAAGACTTAAATGTTAGACTTAAAACCATAAAAACCCTAGAAGAAAACCTAGGCAATACCATTCGGGACATAGGCATGGGCAAGGACTTCATGTCTAAAACACCAAAAGCAATGGCAACAAAAGCCAAAATGGACAAATGGGATCTGATTAAACTAAAGAGCTTCTGCACAGCAAAAGAAAATACCATCAGAGTCAACAGGCAACCTACAGAATGGGAGAAAATTTTTGCAATCTACTCATCTGACAAAGGGCTAATATCCAGAATCTACAAAGAACTCAAACAAATTTACAAGAAAAAAACAAACAACCCCATCCAAAAGTGGGCAAAGGATATGAACAGACACTTCTCAAAAGAAGACATTTATGCAGCCAACAGACACATGAAAAAATGCTCATCATCACTGGCCATCAGAGAAATGCAAATCAAAACCACAATGAGATACCATCTCACACCAGTTAGAATGGCATTCATTAAAAAGTCAGGAAACAACAGGTGCTAGAGAGGATGTGGAGAAATAGGAACACTTTTACACTGTTGGTGGGACTGTAAACGAGTTCAACCATTGTGGAAGACAGTGTGGTGATTCCTTAAGGATCTAGAACTAGAAATACTGTTTGACCCAGCCATCCCATTACTGGGTATATACCCAAAGGATTATAAATCATGCTGCTATAAAGACACATGCACACGTATGTTTATTGTGGCACTATTCACAATAGCAAAGACTTGGAACCAACCCAAATGTCCATCAATGATAGACTGGATGAAGAAAATGTGGCACATACACACCATGGAATACTATGCAGCCATAAAAAAGGATGAGTTCATGTCCTTTGTAGGGACATGGATGAAGCTGGAAACCATAATTCTCAGCAAACTATCACAAGCAGAAAAAAACCAAACACCACATGTTCTCACTCATAGGTGGGAATTGAACAATGAGAACACTTGGACACAGGAAGAGGAACATCACACACCGGGGGGAGGGGGGAGGGATAGCATTAGGAGATATGCATAATGTAAATGACGAGTTAATGGGTGCAGCACACCAACACGGCACATGTATATGTGTGTAACAAACCTGCACATTGTGCACATGTACCCTAGAACTTAAAGTATAATAAAAAATAAATAAATAAATAAATAAATAAATAAAAAGAAGCTGAAGAGAAGGAGGAGGACTTGTGAACCAGAGATGCTCAGTCATTATTAGCGAGGAAATGCTAGAGAGCCCCTGTGTGCAGTGCTGACTACTTATGCAAAAGGTCACACAGCCAATATTTAACGCAGCCAGTATTTCACACAGCCAATATTTATTAATGACATAGCATACATATACCAGTTATTACTCTAGGTCATGAGAATGGAGTGATAAATAAAATGAATCTGGTCGCCATCAGTATATGCCAGGTAACATTTTGCAGTGACTGTGTACCAGGCCTATGATTTTCAGTATGCAATTTCAATAATTATCCTGTTGTATCTGTGGTATTTAAAAAACATATACATCTCTGGAATCTAAAATTGAGAGGATATAAGTAAAACCCAGTGTTACAAATTTAGTGCTGGAAATCAGATTGCAGTTTAAATCTGAGCATGTAGAAAGTCCCTTTCTTCTATGTCAGCAGATGCCTTTTGTGTGAGGTTTAGGTATACTGCTTTATTAGACATAAACCAGTGTTTCTGCCCTATGTTTTCAGAATGACAATTCCTTATGAAACTAATAGAAGAACAGAAGACAATTGCAAAATCATGATGAAGATACTAATTGCTCTAGAATTCAGGAATACATAAAATGATGTGAGCTGCAGTTATAGGGATCATAAAAGTTAAAATGGGAATGCATTTGAGTGTTTATTATGTGATCAGTGCTAATAAGAGTCATCATTTAATTTTACACTTAACAGTAATCCTGTGAGGATTACGCTATTATTAAATGCATTTGATAGATTACAAAAAGGATTATGGTTGGTAAAAATTGCCCCAAGTAGAAGAGATCATGTTTTTTATTCAGGTTATCTGATTCTAGAGTTTGAGAGTTTGACTGACCATCATTAGTGAGTAGTGACTATATTGTGTCTGAATTATTGACAGAATTTCTGATATTCAAATGTACCAGGTTGCTTCTTAGAGTGCAGACAGAGATGCAAGGGCTGCTAGTTCCGATGTATAGGAGAAACTTTCATTCATTTCACATTTATCATTTTAAAAGTTCTGTATGTCTATAATGGTCATGTGTTGAAGAACACAAGGAAGTATTAAATCACTCCTTCTTCTGAGGTTTGACTAGCAAGTTGGGCTAGAGTTACCAAATAAAATACATGTTCCTAGTTAAATCTGAATTTCAGATACACAACCATGATTTCTTGGAAATTCAAATTTACCTGGGCATCCTCTGGTTTTATTTGCCAAATCTGTCAACCCTAAGTGAGACACATGGACATGGATTACAGTGCTCGTCATGCAAACCACAGTGACAGCAACTTCACACATGTTTATTTTTTAACTTTCTGTCTGTAAAGAAAGTACTTAGATAATTTAGGGATAAAAAGATAGACATTGTTTTATCCAGGGTGCACACCTCTCTGCCATCATTTCTAAAGGGCAAAGGGACATTTCTGCAGGTCTTGCTCACAGTCTGGGGACCTGCTCGTTTTTGCAAACTGTCTGTATGAGTATGTCATTTTCTTGGTTTCTCCCTTTCTAAGGGGACTTGACTGCAAAACCAGGAGTTCTGCCTCTGGCCAAGGCTGGAAATTTGATGCCTGCTGGTATTGTTGGGAGTGGGAGACTGAAAGAAATGAGTTAGTTGGGGCATCAAATGGGAAATAAAATAGCTGTGGTTGTGATTCATTATTACAGAAAATTAGTGGACCAGTGGCAGAGAAATTAAGAAAAAAGATGATGTGAATGATAAACGATATGATTAGTGGCTACTTGGTAAGGCAAGGAAATCATTAAATCTTGGTTCTCATCAAGTTCATTTTCTGAAAAGATAGCACTGTATTGGGACCAGAATTCTACAAAACATTCTTTTTATGTAGGACCAAGATTTTCAACAAATATTTTTCAATGCAATTCTCAGCGCTCCATAACTAATAGTAGCTTGTTCAACACAGATTTTTTCGGATGGTTCACACCTGTAGTTCTTACCCAGGGATAGTTCACCACCCCTCCCTTCCCTCCCATCATCGTTGGTGAACGGTGGCAATGTTTGGAACAATTTTTGGTTGTCACAACAGGGGTTTCTTCTGATATTCAATGAGTAGAAGCCAGGGACACTGCTAAAGAACCTACAATATTCAGAACAGCCTCTGCTATCAACAAGGAATTATCTGGTCCAAAATGTCAATAGTGCTGAGGCTAAGAGCACTGGTTCACACTGTGCTCTTTCTGAAAATTCTAGGCTCACATCTGGTATACACTCACCACACAGTTCAGTTTTTTATGGTTTATTTTTGGTTGTTTCATTATAAAAAATTAGACAGTTACATAAATTCAACCATTTTCTTGTTGAATCCATTTAGTCAATGCAAGCTTAATATTTTCATATTTATTTTTTGCCTTATGCAATATTTTTCAACATTTTCATGAGTTGTTGGTCATCACTATCTCTATTAACTTTCAACAACTTGCTCTTGTAAGTCACAAATAGTGATGCTGCTGAAACTGTTTCTCACTAACAGGCCTCAGATTTGTGTAGTGATTCTACATTTTATATTATTCACAATGTAAAATGCTACTATTTATTCATTTCACTTTTACCCACAGGATTATTTTAAGTTATTTTTTGTCATTTTCACACTTCAAACATAAAGACAAAAACATCAAAAATATATACAGTGTTTTACATATGTGTATATTTTCACATATATCTGTATGTGTGTTTATATGTATTGAAACTACAGAAGCACATGTCACCAATAAGAGCTCTGAGACACCTTTGACCACTTACCCTTATCAGATGATATTTGCCAAATGAGTTGTGGAAACAAGTTTTTTTTAACTGAATTTCAGAGCTTTGTGGATTTAGAAATTCAAAGGAAAGTTTGTGGACATTTACCGGGATCATGGTTTTATTCTCCTTAAAACTCTTCAATACTTTACCATTGTCTTTAGTTAAATCCAAAATCCTAACACCACCCACGAGGCTTTTCAATACCTGCCTTCTTGTGATTTCTCCAGCCTAATCTTTTACCTTCCTTCCCCTCAGCCTCTCTGCTTTAGTGAACTTTGTTCTAGTTTTTTGAAGAAGCTCATCAATTCAACCTTTTGTACATGGGATTTCCTAAACCTGAAAATGTGCCTCCCGTTTTGTCCAGACAGACACACAGGCTCCATCCACTCTGCCCCCTGGCTCTCACCTGCTTAACCTGTCAAGTCACATCTGAACTGTCACTCTTCAGAGGGTCCTTCTCTGGCACCCTAATGTAATTGAGATCATCCTTTTATTCTCTGTTCCAGAACTCCACACTTCTGACGTTTCTCATTCCTGTCTAAGCTCTTGTGTGTTTGGTTTTTGGCCATCACGTTCACTGCTCTTTAAGCTCCCCCAGCGGAGTGGAGAGGTCTGTTTTCCTTTGTTTGGATTCCTAGAGGCAGCGCAGACCAGGCACAAGGTCAGCACTAAGGAAGGGTTCACGGGATGAACACGGTGGGTGCTGTTGAAGGAACCGGTAAAGCGTGTGGGATGAGAGGAGCAGAGAGTGTCTTTCAGGTGAAGACTCCCAGAAGGAGGCCGCGTGGGCCGCGGTGCTGGGCGGATCCTCCTCCAGCTCCTGCTTGGAGTTCTCCAGAACAGGCTGGAGGCAGGGAGGGGGTCCCCAAAAGCCTGAGGATCAGAAGGGGTTTTCCCGCCTGGTCCCCCAGACCCCGGTTCGCCTCAGGAAGACTGAGGACGAGCCCCTGGGCTGCTGGTGGTGGGCGTTGCGGGTGGGGCCGGTTAAGGTTCCCAGCGCCCGCACCCCGCCCAGGGAGTCCGGGTTGGTGGCGTCGCTGTCAGTGTCTTCTCAGGAGGCCGCCCGTGTGACCGGATCGTTCGTGTCCCCACAGCACGTTTCTTGGAGCAGGCTAAGTGTGAGTGTCATTTCCTCAATGGGACGGAGCGAGTGTGGAACCTGATCAGATACATCTATAACCAAGAGGAGTACGCGCGCTACAACAGTGACCTGGGGGAGTACCAGGCGGTGACGGAGCTGGGGCGGCCTGACGCTGAGTACTGGAACAGCCAGAAGGACCTCCTGGAGCGGAGGCGGGCCGAGGTGGACACCTACTGCAGATACAACTACGGGGTTGTGGAGAGCTTCACAGTGCAGCGGCGAGGTGAGCATGGTGGAGGGCGGGGCCTGGGTCCCTGTGAGCGGGGAATCTGTGTATGTGTGTGTGTGTGTGTGTGTGTGAGAGAGAGAGAGAGAGAGAGAGACAGAGGAAGAGAGAGAGAGCGTGCGCCATCTGTGAGCATTTAGAATCCTCTCTATCCTTTCTTATGGCTGCGTAGTATTCCCTGGTGTATAGGTGCCACATTGTCTTAATCCAGTCTATCATTGATGGACATTAGGGTTAATTCCAAGTCTTTGCTATTGTGAATAGTGTCAGTTCATGTCCTTTGTAGGGACATGGATGCAGCTGGAAACCATCATTCTCAGCAAACTATCACAAGGACAGAAAACCAAACACCACTTGTTCTCACTCATAGGTGGGAATTGAACAATGAGAACACATGGACACAGGAAGGGGAACATCACACACAGGGGCCTGTCGTGGGGTGGGGGGAGCAGGGAGTGATAGCATTAGGAGATATACCTAATGTAAATGACTAGTTAATGGGTGCAGCATACCAACATGACACATGTGTACATATGTAACAAACCTGCACGTTGTGCACATGTATCCTAGAACTTAAAGTATAATAATAATAATTATATATATATATATATTAGAAAAACAAACAAAAAGAATCTTCTGTATCCTGAGCAAGGAGTTCTGAAGGCACAGGTGTGTGTAGAGTGTGGATTTGTCTGTGTGGCTGTTGTGGGAGGGGAAACAGGAGGGGGCTGCTTCTTATTCTTGGAGGCCTCTGTGCAGAGGTGACATGGGAGGTGGGTGTAGGGGGCTGGAGAGAGAGGAGACCTTGATTGTCCTGGGTCCTTAGAGATGCAGGGAAGGGAAGAATAAGGTGTGTGTGGTTGGGGTGAAGGTTTAGGGGAGGAGAGCTGAGGAGTGTGGAAGGTTTGGGATAATGTGAGGAGGCCAGTTCCAGACTGTCCCTGGCACACACCCTTCATGTAATCTCTGAAATAAAAGTGTGTGCTGTTTGTTTGTAAAAGCATTAGATTAATTTCTAGGGGAATTGAGGAGACCTCTGAGGCACCTCTGAAGCTTCTTTAGGTCTAAATTTCTTGCTAGTTTTTGTTTTTTTAGGGTGTATATTTTTACATAGCAGAAGTGACTGTGAAACTAACTTTTTGAATTAAAGTTTTAACACAGTTACTATTTTATTATAATGCTAATAGTTTTCTAGTAGTTACATCTTATTCTTTTGTATATAATAGTTGTGACACAACTTACCTCACTTTCCCCTTTTTGTTGACCTTTATTATGACTTTCACCAAAAGTTGAAAATGTATGTTTCTGGTTAATTTTTACTTTATATTTTTCATTTGTAATTCTTTTGAATTATTTTGACCTATTTATTGGCCAATTATAATTACTGCTGTAAGAATTCCCTATTTCATTTGGTAGGGAATGTACAATGATCTACTGTCTAATATCTTAAGGGCTTAGTATTTTTCTCAGTGACTTTGTGGGTTCTTTGTACTGTAAGATTATTAACACTTTATTGATATTTGATTCAGCATTTTCTCCAGTTTGTGGTTTGTATGTGGATTTTGAAAAGTATTTTCCATGTTAAGAATTTGAACATTTTTATTTAATAAAATATATTGCGAAATTTGTATTAATGATTTACAATCATCTTAAATCCACCATTTTGTGGTATTATTGTCTCCAGGTTTCTCCTTACTTCTAAAAAAAAACTGTATTTATTGAGAGTATGCTAGTGTCAGGGATTTTCCTGGGCATAAGCACCCCAAGTGACGAGTCCCAGACACTGCCTTAATCCAAATGTCATTCTGGAAAGAAAAATCATTTTACAATGATAGGCCTAATAATAATTAAGCTTGTGTTGCACAGGAGATACATTGATCAGCTAAATGTAAACGTAAGAACTTTCAAAACTAAAATGACATTCCTTAATCATTCTCTCTGCGTTAGGACTCATGCTTTTCTAGGAACGTAAAAATTTGAGAATCATTTCTGTCTGTCCCACCTTCCCAGGGGCAGAACCATTTCTGTGGTGTTCTAAGGTGTGAGTGCATGGTGGTAGTATTCCCAAAAATTCATACTCGGTTTCCTCATGTACCCAACTCTGTCCCTTTATCTACCCACATTGCTTTAAGTCATATTTTTCTGTCACGGTGTACAAGGATGATAAATAGGTGCCAAGTGGAGCACCCAAGTGTGATGAGCCCCCTCACAGTGGAATGGAGTGACAAGCTTTCTAACCTCATAAATTGAAGGCTATCTTCAGTCATTGTTTTATATATTTTACGTGCATTAATCCTCATATAACCCCAAGAGGTAAATTAGTATAATTATCCTTCATTGTAGGTGACAAAGTTGAGACACAGAAGAATCAAAAAACTCTTCCAGCATCAACCAGTAAAAGGCAGACCTTGGATTTCAACCAGGCAACATGGCTCAGATATCAGTTTTAATTACTACACTCTACTGTCAAAGATTTGTAAACACTTTGACAATGCATGCCAATTTCAAGCTATGAAGAAACAAACACAATTTTTCACAACATCTCTCAAATCTAATGGGTCCTCACTATCAAGATTAAATTCCAGGCTGATGACACTGTAAGGCCACATGGCCAGCTGTGCTGGAGGCCTGGTCAAGGTCAGAGCCTGGGTTTGCAGAGAAGCAGACAAACAGCCAAACAAGGAGACTTACTCTGTCTTCATGACTCATTCCCACTACCTTTTTTTTCTCCTAGTCCAACCTAAGGTGACTGTGTATCCTTCAAAGACCCAGCCCCTGCAGCACCACAACCTCCTGGTCTGCTCTGTGAATGGTTTCTATCCAGGCAGCATTGAAGTCAGGTGGTTCCGGAACGGCCAGGAAGAGAAGGCTGGGGTGGTGTCCACAGGCCTGATCCAGAATGGAGACTGGACCTTCCAGACCCTGGTGATGCTGGAAACAGTTCCTCGGAGTGGAGAGGTTTACACCTGCCAAGTGGAGCATCCAAGCATGATGAGCCCTCTCACGGTGCAATGGAGTTAGCAGCTTTCTGACTTCCTAAATTTCTCACCCACCAAGAAGGGGACTGTGCTAATCCCTGAGTGTCAGGTTTCTCCTCTCCCACATCCTATTTTCATTTGCTCCATGTTCTCATCTCCATCAGCACAGGTCACTGGGCTACTGGGGGTAGCCCTGTAGGTGTTTCTAGAAACACCTGTACCCCCTGGGGAATCAGTCACGCCTGCCAGGCGGGAGAGGCTGTCCCTCTTTTGAACCTCCCCATGATGTCCCAGTTCAGGGTCACCCACTCTCCCCAGGCTCCAGGCCCTGCCTCTGGGTCTGAGACTGCGTTTCTGGTGCTGTTGATCTGAGTTGTTTGTTGTGAGAAGAGGAGAACTCTAGGGGCCTTCCTGACATGAGGGGAGTCCAATCTCAACTCTGCCTTTTATTAGCTCTGTCACTCTAGACAAACTACTTAACCTCACTGAGACTCAGGCTTTCTGTTGATCAGATTTTGAAGTTGCGCCTTACATCAAGGCTGTAATATTTGAAATGAGTTTGATGCCTGGACCTTGTAACTGTTACAGTGTGATTTGAAAACCGTTTTTTCCCCCAGAAATGGCTAGTTATTTTAGTTCTTACAGGGCAGCCTTCTTTCCCATTTTGAAAGCTCTGAATCTTAGGGTCTCAATTACAGAGGTTCAATTTGGAATAAACACTAAACCTGGCTTCCTCTCTCAGGTGCACGGTCTGAATCTGCACAGAGCAAGATGCTGAGTGGAGTCGGGGGCTTTGTGCTGGGCCTGCTCTTCCTTGGGACAGGGCTGTTCATCTACTTCAGGAATCAGAAAGGTGAGGAGCTTTTGGGAGCTGAATCTCCATAGGCTTTTCTGGAGGAGGAACTATGACTTTGCTAGGGTTAGTTCTCAGTATATCAGTGGCCCTGGATAAAGCCTTTCTTTCCCCAAATGACCTCCAATGTCCTGATAATCCAGAAATCATCAGTGCATGGTTACTATGTCAAAGCATAATAGCTTGTGGCCTGCAGAGATAAGAGAAAGGTTAACAAGTAGGGATTCTTTGGTTGGAGATCCTGGAGCAAATTAAGGAAGAGCCACTAAGGCTAATGCAATTACGCTGGATCCTGTGACAGACACCTCATGCTTCATGGGTCACATGGTCTGTTTCTGTTCCTCTCTGCCCTGGTTGGTGTGGGTTGTGGTGTTAGAGAAATCTCAGGTGGGAGATCTGGGGCTGGGACATTGTGTTAGAAGACAGATTTGCTTCCATATCTTTTAAGTGTATATCTTTTCCTCTTTTTCCCAGGACACTCTGGACTTCAGCCAACAGGTAATACCTTTTAATCCTCTTTCAGAAAGAGATTCAGTTTCCCTAGAATGATGGCAGAGGTGATAAGGCATGAGACAGAAATAATAGGAAAGACTTTGGATCCAGATTTCTGATCAGGCAATTTACCCCAGAACTCCTCCTCTCCACTTAGAAAAGGCCTGTGCTTTGCAGGATCATTGGCTCAGGGAGACTTAGGAACTTGTTTTTCTTCTCCCTGCAGTGCTCTCATCTGAGTCGTTGAAAGCGGGGAAAAGAAGTTTTAGTAAAGCCAGGTCTGAAAACAATTTCCTCTGTCTCTGCAGGACTCTTGAGCTGAAGTGCAGATGACCACATTCAAGGAAGAACCTTCTGCCCCAGCTTTGCAAGATGAAAAGCTTTCCCACTTGGCTCTTATTCTTCCACAAGAGCTTTGTCAGGACCAGGTTGTTACTGGTTCAGCAACTCTGCAGAAAATGTCCTCCCTTGTGGCTTCCTTAGCTCCTGTTCTTGGCCTGAAGCCTCACAGCTTTGATGGCAGTGCCTCATCTTCAACTTTTGTGCTTCCCTTTACCTAAACTGTCCTGCCTCCCGTGCATCTGTACTCCCCTTGTGCCACACATTGCATTATTAAATGTTTCTCAAACATGGAGTTAAAAATTATCTGGTCCATTTGGCTGCAAGGACAAAAAATAAGAAAAAGGGAAGATTATTTCCCAATAGAATAATGGTTTTCATGTATATATAATAAGTATATGAGGTAAATGCATGTTAAATAGCTTGATTTAGACATTCCACACTATAGGCATATATCAAAACCTCATGCTCTACAACATAAATATACTATACAATTTTTACTTGTCAATTAAAAAAGTAAACCTAACATTCAAAAAGGCAATGTATAAAAATTGAGAACAGACTATAACAACTGAAACAAACTTGGCAAACATGAGATGAGAAACCAGCCAGCAAGTCAATCAGAACTTTTTCTTAACCCCATCTACAATATTGTGAATCTGTACCTTTAAATTAGTATATAGTTTTTCATTCCAGAGACTTCAATTATATAGTATTACCAAAGGACCTGTACAGATTTCAGAGAAAGACAAATTTAGAAGATAGAGGGTTCTCCATTGTGTTCTGAGAGTCAGCATCAAATATGTCAAATCTGAAAGTACATAATGAATTCAAAAGTTTACTTCAAAGTAATAATCATTTGAACGTAATTTATCTGTCAGAGACAACTGTTATTTTATTTTCAATCAAATTCAATGTTTATTTTATGCATATTTTGTTTTTAGTTATGTATTATTGTACATACATAGCAGTACATGTATGTATATATCCTATAAGAATATAAATCCTATAGGATTATATTAAGCTGATAATTATGTCTATTCTGTTTGATCCCAGAGTTGCAACAAATACGCTTTGTTGCTTAAGTTGAGGAAATGATTTGTCTCATTTTATATGAGACTTGTGGTGTGGAATTCTAAGGTAGAACTAAAATGTGTGGGATGAATATTTGAATGAAGATGCCTTCTGCTGCAAATAGCAGGAAATCCCATCTAGTGGGCTTTTCTTTTCTTTAACCCATTATCTCACATAGCCGATAGATCCGAGGCTGGGCGTCTCCAGGGTTGCTCAACTCAGCAGGCCAGTGTCATCACCAGCGATCCTGGAACTTCATAGCTCATCTCTCTATCACACACAGCACGTCAGCTTTCCTGAGATGGTAGGAGGACCCCTGCAGCAGCTTTAGGTTTCTTATTCTTTCACAACTCCCAAAGGCAGGAAAAGGATATGACTTTTTCCTGTGTGTCTTTATAAGAATCAACTAAACAGTTTCTAGAGTGTTCCCAGTACCCACTTACTCAAACAATGGAATGACCGTGGGATCACATGGGCTCAGACAAGCCAGGATTCAACCTTTGTAGAGTGGGCCTGATGCACATGGGAAGAAAAGGAGCAAAATCATATATTTTTAAAATAAAGAAATGGTGGATGGAGTAGGAGAGATTGATTTCAGGGTAGGGAAATGAAAGATTGTGGTATTATTAGGTTGTTAGTATTTGTAGTTAAATTCCACATGAAGGCCTAGAGATTCCCAATAGGCATCCTCAATTCAGGGTTTCTGGGTCTTTTTAAATACATATCTATTTATTATACATATATTTAAATATATATATTTTAAAAACATAAATATATATAATATACATACATTGAGTATTAAATGTCAGCCATTAACTCAATTACAATAAAACAAAAAAGCAAGTAAAAAGGATTGTTTTTAGAACTCAAGTATGCTGACATGTTATTTTATGAGGTAAATATATTTTCTAGGGAAATTTTTGAAAAAAAGCAGAATAAGGAATGACTAGCTCTATAAGGTGCTGTTTTAAAACACACTATACATTTATTTTTAAAAAGGCATTTGTTACTGATTTTCTTTTTCATTAAATACTAGTAAAACAGAGTCTAGAATTTAGAAAGAGTTGAGATTTAGTTTCAGTTTTTGGTAAGTTGTATTCCAAACTCATTTTTTTCACTAAATAGATGCTGGATAAATAAAAATTGAAACATAAAGAGAAAATATAAAATTAACAAGACAGATGTTATTTATTTATTTTTCTTTTTTGAGACGGGGTCTCGCTCTGTTGTCCAGGCTGAAGTGCAGTGGTGTATTCCCTGCTCCGCACAACCTTCGACTCCTGGGTTCAAGCGATTCTCCTGCCTCACCCTACCGAGTAGCTGCGACTACAGGTGCATGCCACTGTGCCTGGCTAATTTTTACGTTTTTAGCAGAGACAGGGTTTCACTGTGTTGGGCAGGCTGGTCTCGAACTCCTGACCTCGTGATCTGCCTGCTTTGGCCTCCCAAAGTGCTGGGACCACAGGCATGAGCCACCGTGTTTAGCTGACAGATGTTATTTCTAATAGTATCATCAACATTATAATTATGTTTGAAGACAAACGGACTTTCTAAACCCTTATGTAGTGCTGGTGGGAGTGTATAATTTTACAAATACCTGGAAATTGGCAATTTCCTAAAAAGTTTAACATACGTTTACCATATGACCCAGCAGTTTCACTCCTTGGAATCTACCTAAGAGACATAAAAACATATGTCCTCACAAAGATATGTGTTTGAGTGTTCAGAACAGCATTAGCCATAGTAGGCCCATACTGAAAACAATCCAAATATCCTTCAACTAGTAAATGGATAAACAAAATGGTACTATGTCCATGCAAGGCAGTATCATTCAACAATAAAAGGGGACAAAAATAGACTTATCTGACAGGGGAGATACCATGAACATGAGGATAGTTTTCCCAAGGCAAGTTTCAATGCTTGCACTGCGGATGATGAGAGATTACTTAATGGGTACAGTGCATGTGAATTGGGTGATGGATACTGCAGAAACACCGACTTCACCACTATGCAATCTATGCAGGTAACAAAACTACACTTGTACCTTATAAATTTACACAAATGAAAGAAGATAACCTGAATAAAAAGGAATGAAAAGAAAAGAAACAAAATTGATGATACATACTACAAAACTGGTGAACTTCAATAATGTTAACTAAGTGAAGGAAACTGGACACAAAAGATTACATGTTGTATGATTTCCTTTACTTAAAATACCTAGAAGAGGTAAATTATAGACACAAACAGCAGATCATTGGGTGCCTAGGACTTGGGGTATCGGTGGGAATTAACTATAAACAGAAATTTTGGATATGATAGAAATGTTATAAAACTGGATTGTTGTAATAATTGCACAAATCCATTAATTTACTAAAATCATTAAATTTTATATATACAATGAGTAAATTTTGCAGTATGTAAAGTATGCTTCAGTAAACCTGTTAAAATAATTCTTTTTTTAAAAATAAGACATTGTGGCTGGGTGTGGTGGCTCACGTCTGTAATCCCAGAACTTTGGGAGGCCAAGGCGGGTGGATCACGAGGTCAGGAGTTGAAGACCAGCCTGGCCAAGATGGTGAAACCCCGTCTCTACTAAAAATACAAAAACATTAGCAGGGCATGGTGGCAGGTGCCTGTAATCCTAGCTACTTGGGAGGCTGAGGCAGAGAATGGCATGAACCCGGGAGGTGGAGATTGCAGTGAGCCGAGATCGCACCACTGCACTCCAGCCTGGGCAACAGAGTGAGACTCTGCCTAAAAAAAAAAAAAAAAAAAACAGGGCTGTGCATGGTGGCTCACGCCTGTAGTACCAGCACTTTGGGAGGCTGAGGTGGGCAGATCACGTGGTCAAGAGTTCAAGACCAGCCTGGCCAACATAGTGAAACCCTGCCTCTACTAAAAATACAAAAATTAGCCGGACGTGGTGGTGCATGCCTGTAATCCCAGCTACTCAAGAGGCTGAGGCAGGAGAATCGCTTGTGAGCGGGAGGCGGTGGCTATGGGGAGCCAAGATCACACCATTGCACCCCAGCCTGGGAGACAGAGCAAGACTCTGTCTCAAAAACAAAAAACAACCACAACAAAAAAACAAAGAGGTGAGGAAATTGATAAAATTATTTTCTTGGTTTTGTTTTCTATTTGTTTATGGTAGAACATTATTGTGTTAGTCCATTCTTACATTGCTAAAAAGAAATACCTGAGGCTGGGTAATTCATAAAGAAAAGAGGTTTAACTGGCTCAGGGTTTTGCAGGCTGTACAGGAGGTGTGGTGCTGGCAATTGCTTCTGGTGAGGGCCTCAGGAAGCTAACAATCATGGGGGAAGGAAAGGAGAGCCCGGGTATCACATGGTGAGAGCAGGAGCACAGAGAAAGTGGGGAAGAGTCGCACTCTTTTAAACAACCAGATCTCCTGTGAACTGAGTGAGAACTCACACATTACAGCTAAGATGGCACCAAGCCATCGATGAAGGATCTGCCGCCCACCAAAATACCTCTTGCCAGGCCTCACCTCCAACACTGGAGGCTATGTTTCAACACGAGATTTGGACGGGACATACATCCAAACTATATCAATAACATGATTGCTTTAATGTATACTGACTTTGTAATCAGCAACAGTATTTAAATTCACTTATTAAAACTATGAGTTTGTTTACTAATTTTATTTTCTAAGTAGCTGATTATGTTGAGAGTAAATAATGACCATTTCACCTGGATGCAATTATCATCTCTTTTATTTATTTTTCTTGCCGTTTTCATTGCCTAACTCCTCTAGTACTCCAGATATGAAGGAGACAGTTTTAAATATTTCACTGCTGAGACTAATATGTGCAATAAGGTAGCTATCATTTCTCAGACTGAAGAAATAACTTTTTAATACGAGTTTGCAAATAGATTTTTAAAAAATTAAGGCCAAGTGCTGAATTCTGTCAAATCATATTTCAAGACTCTATCCAGGTGGTTGCATGTGTATTCTCCTTCCTTCAGTTAATGTCGTGAATCACACTAATGGATTCTCAAATGCTCAAACAACCTTGCATTTCTGGAATAAACTCCACTTGGTCATGATGTAGTAGCCATCTTTTATATCACTGAATTCAGTTGGCTATTATTTTCTTAAGAACTTGGCTCATAAGAATTATTGGTCCATAAATTCCTATCTGTTGTAGAGTTCTTTTCAGATCTTGAAGTAAATTTTACACAGATCTCATCAAACCAAACTGCAAGTGTTTTCCGCTTTTTCAAATGTTTGAAGTTTGCATAAAGTTAGTGTTGTTTGTTCCTTAAATATTTTAAAATATTTACTGAAGCTAAATGAACCTGGGGTTTCGTCTTGGGTAAGCTTTATAGAATGGGCTTTCTCTATGAGATGTGGAACTCTTCATACTTTATGTTATTTGTTAGCTTCAGTACATTGCACATTTTGAGTAATTTATTAATTACATGCAAATTTGTTTTTGTAAAGTTATTCATAATATTCAGTATTATTTCATGATGATAAATCTGTAAGACTATAACAAAAGATATGAAATTTGTGTCACTAGAGTCTTAGAGAAAGATGACAAATGGGTGATGCCCAAAGAGTCTTTGAAGGAAGATTGACTATTTTCCAAATTTGGATAAAGACTTTAAAGTAAAAATTCAAGAATCTGTGCAAATCTAAAGGAAGATGAATCCAAAGAAATTTATGTCAAAAAATCTTGATAGCAACAAGAGAGAAATGACATCTCATGTACAGGAGAAAATAAAGGACAGTGTATTCCTCATTAGAAATCATGCAGACCAGACAGAAGTGCCACAAGATATTTTAATGGCTGAAAGTAATGTTAACCTAGAATGTATATCCAGAAAAATATTATTATAAAATGAAGGTTCTATCATGACATTCTTTTTTTTCTTTTCTTTTTTTTTTGTTTTTTAGATAGAGTCTTGCTCTGTCACCCAGGCTGGAGGGCAGTGGCACAACCATGGCTCACTGCAGCCTCTGCCTCTCAGGCTCATGTGATCCTCACACCTCTGCCTCCTGAGTAGCTGGAATTACAGACACACACCACCAAGCCTGGCTAACTTTTTGTATTTTTGGCAGAGACAAGGTTTTGCCATGATGCCCAAGCTGGTCTCAAACTCCTGAGCTTAGGGGATGCGCCTGCCTTGGCCTTCAAAAGTGCTGGGATTACAGGTGTGAGCCACCGTGCCCGGCCATGACATTCTTAGAGGAAGGAAAATCAAGAGAATTTGATGCTAGCAGATTTATCCTAAAACAAGGGTAAAGGAAGTGCTTGAACTGGAATAGAAATGATAAGGGAAGAAATCTTGGACAATCAGGAAAAAAAGAAACTATAGAATGAGTAAAAATATGGGTCAATACAACAGACTTCTCTTCTTCAGTTTTATAAATTAGTTTGATGGTTGAGGCAAAAATTACAACATTGTCACATCTGCAAGTAGAGAAAATAAAAAATATATATTATAAATGCAGGAGCAAAAGGGATAAAAAGGTAAAGTTTTTACACTGCAGTCAAATTGAAAAAATCTCAGCACAAGTAGACTATAAGTTACGTTAATAGATAAATCACAAAAACTCTACAATGAGATACACCAAAAAATGATTGATTAAAAAATGGAATTCTAAATATTGCTTAAGGGACACATCAAAAAACAGGGCAAGAAAACAGAGAAGCAAAAACCAGAGGAAACAAAAAGCAAATGGCAGTCATGAGAGCTCACATATTAATAATTGCATTACATTAAATTGTCTAAAAAGACAAAATGTCAGAGTGAAAAATAATTACCCATCGATATGCTACCTATGAGAAACTTACTGCAAATATTACAAGAGTGGAAGGCTGAAACAGAAGAATGGAAAAAAATAAACCATACTAACTGTTGTCAAAGAAAGCAGAAATGGCTATAATATCAGATAACATAAAATGCACAGAGCAAAGAATATTCTGAGAGACAAATGGAAACACTACATAATCATAAAAATGTTAATTCAGGAAGAAGACATAGCAACTCTAAAGGTGTGTACACCACACAACTAAGTTACTTATAAGTAGAGCAAAAAACGGTCAGAACTGGAAGGAGAAATATACAAATACACAGTTAAACTTTGGGACTCCACAAACGAACTCTGAAAAGTTAATAAAACAACTGGACAAAAACTCAGCAAGATAATGAAACCCAACAAAACTATCCACCAATAAGATCTAATGGACATTTGCAGACCACCACACCAAACAGAAGAATACACATTTTTTAACTCTCCATGGAATATTTACCAACATCTCTCATACCCTGGACCATAAAAGGAACCTCAACAAATGTAAAGAATTGAAATCATACAGACTGTGCTCCCTGGAAACAACGGAGCTGAACCAGAAATCAGTAACATGAAGAAAATCAGTATAACTCCAAACACATGGAAACTTAGTAACATACTTTTAAATTACCCTTGGATCAAAAAAGATGTCTTGGCACTCCAGCATGGATGACAGAGTGAGACTCCGTCTCAAAAAAAAAAAAAAAAAAAAAAAAAGGCCTGGTGAGGTGGCTCACGCCTGTAATCCCAGAACTTTGGGAGGCCGAAGTGGGTGGATCACGAGGTCAAGAGATCGAGACCATCCTGGCCAATATGGTGAAACCCCGTCTCTACTAAAAATACAAAAAATTAGCGGGCGTGGTGGCAGGCGCCTGTAGTCCCAGCTATTCGGGAGGCTGAGGCAGGAGAATCACTTGAACCCGGAAGGCAGAGCTTGTCTGACATCGCGCCACTGCACTCCAGCCAGAGATGCCACACGGTGGCTCACGCCTGTAATTCCAGCACTTTGGGAGGCCGAGGCAGGCGGATCACGAAGTCAGGAGATTGAGACCATCCTGGCTAACACGGTGAAACCCCGTCTCTACTAAAAATACAAAAAAAAATTAGCTGGGCGTGGTGGCGGGCACCTGTAGTCCCAGCTACTCGGGAGGCTGAGGCAGGAGAATGGAGTAAACCTGGAAGGCAGAGCTTGCAGTGAGCTGAGATCACGCCACTACACTCCAGCCTGGGCGACAGTGCAAGACTCCATCTCAAAAAAAAAGATGTCTTAAGGAAAATAAAAAGTATGTTCAACTAACTGATAATGAAAATACAACATATCAAAATGTTTGGCACATAGCTAAAGGCGCGCTTTGAAGTACTATGCGTAGTACAAAATGTATACACTGAAAAAGAGAAAACTTCAGAAACCAATAATCTCAGTTCCCACCTCAAAAATCTAGAAAAGTTGTCAAAAATAACCTAAATCAAGAAGAAGAAGGAAAAAAAAAACTAATATAAAGGCAGAACTCAATGGCTCATGCCTGTAATCCCAGCACTTTGCAAGGCTGAAGCGGGCGGATCACCTGAGGTCGGGAGTTTGAGCCTGACCAACACGGAGAAACCCCATCTCTACTAAAAATACAAAATTAGCCGAGCATGGTGGCGCATTCCTGTAATCCCAGCTACTCGGGAGGCTGAGGCAGGAGAATCACTTGAACCTGGGAGGCGGGGGTTGCAGTGAGCCGAGATCGCGCCATTGCCCTCCAGCCTGGGCAACAAGAGCAAAAACTCCAACTCAAAAAGAAAAAAAAAAAAAAAGAGAGAGAGAGAGAGAAAATCAGTGGGAAAAAAAGTTTGTTCTTTAAAAATATCAATAGAACTGACAAATTTCTAGGACAAAATAAAAGGAAAAAGGAGAAAGAAAAAACACCAATATTGGGGTGGAAACATTATATCACTACAGATTCTTTGACATCAATAGTACACCAAAGGAATACACCAAGAACACTTAGGTGAAATGGAAAAGAATCCTTTAAAAGTACACAAATACACACTATTACAACTAACTCAATATGAAATAGATACATTGAAAAGCTCTATAATTATAAAAAGAGTTGAACTTACAGGAGAAATCTCTAGGTTAGAATAGTTTCACAGGAGAAATCTACCAAACATTTCAGTAGAATTAACACAACTCTGCAAAGTTTCCTCCAGAAAGCAGAAGAGAGGGGAAGACATCCCAACTTACTTTATGAGGCCAGCATTTCCTAAAATCAAAAGCACACAAATATAGTACAGGAAAAGAAAATTAAAAAGCAATATACCTGCATGACTATACATGCAAAACTCCCTAACAAAATGTTAGCAAGTAAAAAATCAGCCAAACTAAAAATATATGTAAACTATGCCAAGTAGCGTTTATTTTAGGGATGCAAGTCTGGTTTAATGTTTGAAATCAATCAATGTCATCCATCTTATTAAGAAGCTAAAGAAGAAACATCGCACGGTTCTATCAGTTGATGTAGAGAAGGCCTTTGACATAATTCTACATTAATTTATGATTTATAAAAGCCCCTCAAAATAGTAGGAACTGAGGATGACCTCCTCAACTGGATAAATAACTTATACAAAAATGTTGCGGCTAAATTACACTTAATAGTGGAAGTCTGAATGCTTTTCCTCTTCTGTTTCAGCTACTAAGGAAATTCACAAGGTCACAGAATTCAAGATCAACAAAAAAATTAATTTTATTTGAATATACAGTAATAAAGAAATCAAAACAAATACTAAAAATACAACATGAATTATTTCCATTCAAAAAACCTCATAAGTATACCAACAGAACATGTACACAATCCATATGCTGAAATGCTGAGCCATAAAAAATGATGAGTTCACGTCCTTTGTAGGGACATGGATGAAATTGGAAATCATCATTCTCAGTAAACTATCGCAAGAACAAAAAACCAAACACCGCATATTCTCACTCATAGGTGGGAATTGAACAATGAGATCACATGGACACAGGAAGGGGAATATCACACTCTGGGGACTGTTGTGGGGCGGGGGGAGGGGGGCGGGGTAGCATTGGGAGATATACCTAATGCTAGATGACCAGTTAGTGGGTGCAGCGCACCAGCATGGCACATGTATACATATGTAACTAACCTGCACAATGTGCACATGTACCCTAAAACTTAAAGTATAAAAAGAAAAAGAAATAAAAAAATCTGAAGAAATGAAGAGATTTACTGTGTTCATCAACTAGAAAACTAAATATAGTAAAGACGTCAATTCTCCCCACTTTGATGTCCAGGTTTAACACAATTTCTCTCTAAATTCCAGCAAGATTTGTAATAGTTGTAGACAAAGTTATTCTAAAATGCATATGGAGAACCAAGGGAACTAGTATAGGTAAAACAAATTTCATAGGGAAAAAGAGATGAAGGAACTCTTACCAAATTTCAGAATTTTTATAGCTATAGTAATCAATACTGATTTAGTGCAGGGATAGACATAGATTAGTGGAGCAGCATAGAGAATCCAGAAATACACCTATACGAACTCATTTTGACAAAGATGCAAAATAATTCAATGGAGGTAATATAGGCTATAGTCTTTTCAAACAATGGTCCAGGAGAAAGTGGAAATTCATAGACAAAAACAAAAAAGAAGCAAAAGGAAAAAGAAGCAAGAAAGAAACTTAACAAATTCTCAGACCTTATGAAAACATTTATCCCAATTAAATCATGTCTACATGTAAAACGTTTAGAAGAAAACATAAGAAACATCATCAGAAGCTAGGGCCTGCTGTCTGAGTTCTGAGTTCTTAGACACGACATCAAAAGCGCTATGTGTAAAAAACAAAAAGACAAAAACAAAAACAAAAAAAATCAATAAATAAGGTTTCTTCTGTAAAGTATCCTGTTAAGAAATAAAAAGTAAGTTAGAGATACGGAGAAAATATTTAAAACCACATATATTACCAAGAATACATTGTTGAAAATATGTAATGAACTATAAAAGCTCTTCTATAAAATATATAGTAGAGTGCAGACTATAAAATTTAATTATGGCCGGGCATGGTGGCTCACGCCTGTAATCCCAGCACTCTGGGAGGCCGAGGTGGGCGGATCACGAGGTCAGGAGATGGAGACCATCCTGGCTAACATGGTGAAACCCCGTCTCTACTAAAAATGCAAAAAAAAAAAAAAATTAGCCGGGTGTTGTGGCAGGCGCCTGTAGTCCCAGCTACTCAGGAGGCTGAGGCAGGAGAATGGCATGAACCTGGGATGCAGAGTTTGCAGTGAGCTGAGATTGTGCCACTGCACTCCAGTCTGGGTGGCAGAGCGAGACTCTGTCTCAAAAAAAAAAATTGTTAATTACAAAATGGGCAAAAGATATGAAGAGACATTTTATCAAAGAGGATATATATACATGGCAAATAAGCGCAATGAATGACATGCAAATCAGTAGCCATCAGGGAAATGCAAATTAAGAACTTGGTATAATAGCACTATACAACTCCTAATACAGCTAAAATCTCTAAAAAATCTGACAATGGTAAATGCTGGTGAGAATGCAGAAAAATTGAATTTCTCATACACTGATGGGGAGAATGTAAAATGGGACAGTCCTTCTGTGTCCGGAATTTATTCCTTCCGGTGGGTTCTTGGTCTCACTGACTTCAAGAATGAAGCCACAGACCTTCGCGGTGAATGTTACAGCTCTTAAAGATGGTGTGTCCAGAGTTTGTTCCTTCAGATGTTCAGATGTGTCCGGAGTTTCTTCCTTCTGGTGGATTCGTAGTCTCGCTGACTTCAGGAGTGAAGCTGCAGACCTTCGCAGTGAGCGTTACAGCTCTTAAAGGTGGCACGTCTGGAGCTGTTTGTTCCTCCCGATGGGTTCGTGGTCTTGCTGCCTTCAGGAATGAAGCCGCAGACCCTCAGGGTGAGTATTACAGCTCATAAAGGTAGTCTGAACCCAAAGAGTAAGCGGCAGCAAGATTTATTGTGAAGAGTGAAAGAACAAAGCTTCCACAGCGTGGAAGTGGACCTGAGCCAGTTGCCACTGCCGGCTTGGGTGGCCAGCTTTTATTTCCTTATTTGGCCCTGCCCGCATCCTACTGATTAGTCCATTTTACAGCGTGCTGATTGGTCCATTTTACAGAGTGTTGATTGGTGCATTTACAATCATTTAGCTAGACACAGAGCACTGATTGGTGCATTTTTACACAGTGCTGATTGGTGCATTTACAGTCCTTTAGCTAGACACAGAGTGCTGATTGATGCATTTATAATCCTCTAGCTAAACAGAAAAGTTCTCCAAGTCCCCACCTGACCCAGAAGCCCAGCTGACTTCACCTCTCAATCCCCGCTCTAAACAGGACATGGCAACTGCTGTTGGGAATTGGGCAATGACCACTCTAGCTACTTCCTGCTGGATAGGGGTGAAGAAGGGGCCTTGCAGTTGTAGTGTCCTCCAGAGAGAAGCTCTTTAGGCCAGTAAAAGGGTCAGTGACTCATTTCAGGGGTCCTTGGTAGAAGTTGTTAGCTGAGCTCATTTGGGGTTCCCTTTGTAAGACCATCTGTAGCTTGTTGGCCTTGATCCTAGAGTAAACAAATTTGACAAGGAGGTTAAAACTACAGGGCCCAAAGGCGAGTAATAGTAAGATGGCTGTCACAGGACCTAGAAAGGGGAGAAGCCATGTCGCCCAACTCCAGAGTTTGGTATAAGAGTTTGAAAGGCATTGTCTGATTTCAGAAGCCTTTTCCTGTAAACGCTGGGCGGCATCTCATACTATCCCTGACTGGTTAGTGTAAAACAACACTCTTCCCCTAAGAAGATGCAGAGTCCTTCTTTCTCAGCAGTGAGGAGGTCTAGGCCTCGGCGATTTTGAAGAGTCACTGCTGCCAAAGAGTCTATTTGGGATTGTAGAGTAAGGATAGATTATGTTATTACTTGCAAACTGCCTGAGAAATCCTTTGAGAGTGTGGTAGTAGGATAATGAAGTAGATAAACTGGCTATTCTGGTTCCTGTAGCAGTAGCCATTCCTAACCCTGTAAGTAGAGGTATTAGTTGTATGGATGTTAATAATAAAAGAAACTGAACAGAGGGCCATTTTAGGGAAGGAGATATGTGGGAACTCCCTAAACTTTCTCTGGAAGTTTTTCATACACTTGAAACTGCTTTAAAAATGGTCTTGTTATATGGGAGGATATGGACTTACTTTTGCTTTTCATTCCATACTTGTCTGAGTTTGAGTGTATTCTCTATTGTTCACCTATTTGTTTTATATTAAAATTGTAGATATGTTAGCAAACACTTAATTCTATTTGCAACATTCTCAAGAGTCTGCTTTCTCTAAACCATAGGTAAAGAAACTTATTTATTCGTTAAGTTTTACAAGGTTATGCCACCTTGGTTTGTGCTTATTTTGCTTTTCTAGGATTTTTATCACTAGGCTGTAGAAATTTTGAGGAAAACAATTCCACAACCGATCCAAGGCCGAAATGAAGTTACAAAGCTACACTCCTATGCAAACATCTGATTGGTTGCAAAAAAACAACCAATCAGAGGTACTCTCAATTTCCCATTTGTCAAGCAGTAAAGGGGGTGTGTTACAAAGGGAGTAGTCTCTGGTCCTTTTGCTACTTAGGCATAGAAAGTTTGAGTTTTCCTCTCAATTTAGTTCAATTCGGGAGTCGACATGAAATGGCCTTAGGTTCCCTGCCTCCAGACCCTATTCTACTGGCTTATCTGGAAGACACTCTGGCTGTTTCTTACAAAGCGAAACATACTCTACCATAAGATTCAGCAATTGCAATCCTAAGTATTTGCCCAAATAAGTGGAAAACTTCTGTCCACACAAACAAGTATACACGAATGTTTATAGCAGCTTTCTTTATAATTGCCAAAAATTCAAAGCAACGAAGATGTTCTCCAGTAAGTGAGTGGATAAACAAATTGTGGTAGATCCATACCATGGGTTGTTATTCAACATTAAAGAGAAATAAGCTATCCAGCTAGGAAAAGACAGGAGAAAACCTATATGCATATTGTTATGTGAAAGAAGCCAGTCTGAAAAAAACTATATACCATATGATTACAACTGTATAACATTCTGGAAAAGGCATAAATACAGTGACAGTAAATAGTGGTTTCCAGGGATTCAGGCGGAAGAGGAGTGCATGAGTAGGTGGAGCCTGGGACAATTTTAGGTCAGCGAAACTACTTCACAGGATAATTTTGTCACTGAAACACCAGGGTTCAGTCTAGGTCTTGCACACAAGGGCTTCAGTCTGGGTCTTGCTGCTCACCACACAGAAAGCCAATCACTGAGATGACAATGAGTATTGCCAAAGAAGAAGGCTTTAATCTTTAATCAGGTGCTGAAGCTGAGGAGATGGGAGACCAGTGTCAAATCCATCTCTGTGACTGACTAAAATTAGGAATTTATCTAGCATGGAAGAAATGTAACTATGTATGAGAAAACAGGAACTGGGGGGGGGGGGGCGGTAAGGGAACAATCATGATGAATGAGGAACCTGGAGTCTCGTTGTCTGGATGAGATGTTCTGGTGAGTTCCAGTTCTTTGACACTTTTTGAGAGCCCTGGGGGAATCTTTTTTTAGAAAGGAACTCAGATAAAACAAATGTAAGTTTCAAGCTTTAAGACCACAAGTGTCCATTTCTATGTTTATTTAAAAAAAAAACTGCCTATGGGACTCTTGGGTCACTTCCACTAAATGGTGGATATATGACATTATGTATTTATCAGAACCCATAGAACTGTATAATAAGAATGATCTCTAATTTCACTATGGATCTCAGTTAACAACAAGTATCAGTATTGCTTCATCAGTAGTAACAAGTGTACCACACTGATGCAGGATGTTAATAATAGGAGAAACTGAGCAGAGGGGTGCTTTAGGGAAGAAGGGCTGTGGGGACTCCATGAACTTTCTCTGCAATTTTTCTGTCCACTTAAAACTACTTTAAAAAAATGGTCTTGTTACATGGAATGATATGGATTTATTTTTGCTTTTTCATTCCATCTTTGTCGGCATTTGACTACATTCTCTGTTGCTCATCTACACCCTGTTCATGTTACAGCTTTTTTAGCCTCATCATTAGGCAGATTCCCAGTTCTTGCCCTGCGTCCAGGAAGAATGAGGTACGCAGACAAGTAGAGGGTTAGCAGGACAAAGAGGAGCTTTATTAAGCAATAGAACAGCTCAGAGAGCCGCAGTGGGCCACTCCTATCCATAGCCAGGTTGCCTCAACACTTGTTCAGCTATCAACAGAGAGGGTAGCTCCTCTCTGCATCTGATTGTCCTGTCCTCTCCTCAGTTCTCAGCAGAGAGGAGACCCTGGTGAGGGCAGCTTCACTCTGCAGCTGAGAGGAGACCCTGGGGATGTTAAATCCTCTCCTCAGCAACTTATCCCTCATGTCCCTGTCCTGTCTCTATGCTCTCTCCATCCTCTTCTCAAGTCCACCTGAGCCCAGGGCTTTTACGGGCCTCAGAGGGGAAGAATGGATGGCCATGGGGCAGGCCCAGAAAAGGCACAAGTTCCCACTCCTGTCTGCAGGACTGGCAGCCCAACCCATAGCCTTCAATCCCTCCCTGGCCTGAAGGAGGGGCTTCATCAGGGACCTGCCCCCTTCTGCTCAGGAGACTGTCTGCCTCCCAACCCCGTCCATGGCACCTAGGCTGCTCATGGCAAAGGGCCTATAGGCCAGCACCAGTTGCCCTCAGCCCATTTTCCCTCGGCTTCCCCATGGCTGAGGTGGCAGGAGGCTGGTGTATCAACGTTGTCCTGAACATGCACACACCCAGCTAGGCTGTAACAGCACTGGGGCTTGGCCCCAAACTCCACTCTGAGATCAGAGTGGGCGCCCGGGGGCCTGGAGAAGCCAGGTGAGAAGCCAGGCAGTGGGAGCAGACACCTGCAAGCCTGCAGGGGCAGGGGGTGCTTCACGTCCTTGAGAGCATGGAGTGCAGAGAGGCCGGTATCCTGCTGCGTGGAGGGCAGGACTCCCACTCAATCCCTGGAGTCTGCAGATAGCCCCTGTCACACCTTCACACAGCCTGGGGTGGACAGCTCCCCTCATCTGTGCCCATGCCAGCATCTGGGGCAAGGATGATGTGTCTGCAAGTTCTTCACCTACCACTCAGGGGTGCCTGGGGCTCCCCCTTGCCTGGATGGGGTGAGGGAGGCACCGTGGGGAGCAGATCAGGCCCAAGCCTGGCCGTCGGGAAAATCAGGCTTCGTGGCCACCCTGGGGACACAACCCTGGGCTGCCTCAGGCAGAACCTCTTCCTGAGGTGCAGGAACTGGGCTTCGTCAGCATGGTGGGACAGTGACCATGCCACTGGCTGGGTCCCCAGAGCAGGGCTACTCCCACTTCCAAACCGGGCCCAACAAGCCTGGCCCTAGCTCCATGCCCTCCCCACAGCTGCAGGATGAGAGCAGCAAAGCAGGAGTCGTGGAGGCTCCTGGCCTGGGGGCAGTCCCTCCGGCTGCTCAAGGGTTGGGGCAGCGCAGTTGGCTGCCTCAGGGGCGCAAGGCACAGGGGACATGGGGCACAGGGGTCCCACCATGGCCACGGCTCCCTCAGTCGTTCCTGCCACCACCGCTTGCAACTTCCCACTGCAGCCAGCCATTCTGGACAGCTCGCCACTGCCAGCATCACCACCCTTTTAACCTCAAATACTAAGCTGAACCTTAGCTGGATTTCCTAGATTACCATCATCTCAATTAGTTTCTTTTTTACACAGTTTGTTCCTTCTTTTCTTTTTTTTTGTTTTTTTTTTTCCTTTTTATTTTTATTTTTTCAGGGTCTCCCTCTGTCACCCAGGCTGGAATGCAGTGACATGATCTTGGGTCACTGCAGCGTGGACCTTCCAGGTTCTAGCAATCTACCCACCTCCTGAGTAGCTGGGACTAAATTAGTTTCTAAGTAAATTATTATTTTCTGTTGACCAAATTAAATGTGATATTCTGGTTGCAATTTCACAACTTCCAATAGTATTGAATTATTATTGGGGTATAGAGACATAGTTTATTCTCAAATCCAGGGACAATAGTGACTTTCACCCGTGAAATTTTGAACTTTCTATATTAATAGAAGTATGTTTTTCCAAAGTAAGTGAGGCACTTTTTTCTTCTATTTTGAGATGATCAAATTTACTACTTTATCATGAGAAATCTGAAATAATAATTCTGAGCAATAGTTTTTATTTAAGAATTTTGAGGTCACTATTACCTTTAATAAGAAGGAGACTTCTCAGGAGCTATGGGTGTCATCACATAAGACAAATGCAAATGTTGTCATTTCCAGGGGAGGGTAAGGATGATAATGAGGGGGTTCTTTTGAAGGAACTAGAATTGCTACACAGTATCTTCCTCAAATTGTATACTGCTGCCATTCATTAACATGAGTAGCCATATTGCTATGTGCATCCATAAATTATAGGAATATAAATAATTTTAATACATAGGACATTATTCTCAGAAATAGAATGTGAAGGATTATGATATAGTGGCTGAGCCTGAGGGGTATGTAATTTGGTTCAATCTATAGTGTACCATTTACTAGCTGTGTATCTTTGCAAAAGTTGTTTCATCTCCATTGTTTTATTCTCTCTACCTGTAAGCATGAAAAGGGTGTTTATTTTACTGAGCTGATGTGAGAATGGAATAAAAACATGAAGTATAAAAAGCGCTTAGTACAATTCTGAGTATAAAGTAAAATGCTCATTTTTATGGCAGCATGGTGAGAATCCTGCCCCTGGAAACACTAAGGCCCATAAGGAATGAGTGCCTATGTGGTAGCGTGTGAATTAATGCAGAACGCTATAAGTATAGTTGTACTTTGAAGTCCATTCTGAATCTTAGATGTTACATTTATATTAATAAAAAGCATAATAATTATCTAAATGTATATGTTTAATATTATATGGTTACATCAACTGATGTAATTCATAGTTTTCCCTAGTGTTCTCTTTCCTGAACATTCTAAAATGTATTAGTTAGCAAAGTCATCTTCTATCTTCCCTTATGATAAAACAAGAGAAACATAATAGTAAAGTGCTATAGCCTCAATCAAATGAGGAAATCATAATGGAACCAGGAATGAGGGATTGAACACTCTTCACATAAAATATTAATTATTTTAAAACAGAATTGTGGCCAGGCACGATGGCTCATGCCTGTAACCCCAGCAGTTTGGGAGGCCAAGGCAGGCAGAACACGAGGTCGGGAGATCGAGACCATCCTGGCTAACACAGTGAAACCCCATCTCCACTAAAAATACAAAAAATCAACCAAGCGTGGTGGCACGTGCCTGTAGTCAGAGTTACTCAGGAGGCTGAGGCAGGAGAATCATTTGAACTGAGGGGGCAGAGGTTGCAGTGAGCCAAGATCACACCACTGCACTCCAGCCTGGGTAACAGAGCGAGACTCCGTCTCAAAAAAAAAAGAAAAAATAGTTGTTCTGTGAACAGCTGACTTTGAGAGTCTTCGATTGATCTCTCAAACCCACAAATACTTGGATTGCAAAGTTGACCTTATCATATTTTTAGGGTAAGTGCTGTACAAAGGCACGTTCAGACCCTCCATTGCACACATGTGGCCCCTGTTAGCCCCTTGCCTGTGTGTGTTCTGGAGGTGCCACTAAACTTGGGGGCAGCATCAGGAGACATACTTGAAAAAGATATTTTTACTCAGATTAAATTATTAACAAACTGTCAATTTCCTTTAACTTATTAAAGACATCCCTACCTGTAAATAGGTATGGATTAAGCTCTCTAGTCAATAGCTGTCATCCTGTCATATTATCAGATACCCGGGGCTGCTGCTCCTTGAGGTGTCTGCAGAATCACAGCATTTTCCAGTATTGAAAGACCTGAAAGATCACAGTGTCTTCATTTCAACTGTGAGACATGAAATAATTTTCCCAAATCTACAACATTAAGATACAGTGCAATAAGGACCAGATTAAAGGTCTCCGATTTACAACCATGTTCCCTCCATCTCCTTTACTCCTAAACACACTCACACACTCACTTCTGCAAACAGTTGTCTTGTCAGGTGGGAAATGAATGCTCTTACAAGGCTCAAACTTGTGAACACATCACTGACCAGCACAGAGCTGGCTAACAATAGGGACCCAGTTAGTGTTTTACATGCAACTGGATCAAATCTTTCAAGTACTAATTTAAAACAATCCTTTAAAGAAGGAAATTCTGTTTCAGAAGAGGACATAAATACAGCATCTCTGACCAGCAACTGATGATACTATTGAACTCAGATGCTGATTGGTTCTCCAACACGAGATTACCCAACCCAGGAGGAAGGAAATCAGTAACTTCCTCCCTATAATTTGGAATGTGGGTGGAGGGGGGTCATAGTTCTCCCTGAGTGAGACTTGCCTGCTCTTCTGGCCCCTGGTCCTGTCCTGTTCTCCAGCATGGTGTGTCTGAAGCTCCCTGGAGGTTCCTACATGGCAGCGCTGACAGTGACACTGACGGTGCTGAGCTCCCCACTGGCTTTGGCTAGGGACACCTGACATAAGTGCACATTGTGGGTGCTGAGCTACTATGGGGTGCGGAAAATAGGGAGTTGTGTTAACATTGTGCCCAGGCCAGGTGCCTTAAGAAATTGTGACATTTTCTTCAGAGATTGCCCATCTTTATCATGGGATCCCAAATTATTTCCTCCACAAAAGGATCTTGACTACTTGCCCTCTCCATGAGACTGTGTAAGGGGCCTCCATACAGGTCATTTCTTCTCAAATCTTCACCAATGAAACCTTTGCATCACATGTCCTCAGGGTCCTCAGAGGATTTAGAAATAAGGATGCTAAAATAAATTCCCCATACAGCACTTCCCTTTATTATGTTGACCTATGTTAGACAAAAGGAGTTTTTTTCTGAAAATTTTCTGGGAGTCAAGGGAATTCAAAGGGTCTCTCCTAGACAATCCTGTGTTATGCCCTTGACAGAACCTGTGATATTGTCCCCTCTTCCTCATATGTGAGAATGGACCCAGTGGCCTCCCCATTACCTCCTTTCTTTTCTTTCTGAACTCCAATGTTTACCCTGTAATGTATGCAAGGTCTCTGACAGAAGTTATGCTTAGTGCTCTTTCTTCCTTATGGGGAAAAATCCTTGGAGCTGAAGCTGAGATCTTTAGTACTTGGAGTCACCCTACAGTTAAAGAGCATCTATGAGGTATTCTTTGCTGCCTAAAGGACTTAAGAACAAAGCTAGAGGCATCACGTTACCTGACTTCAAACTATACTACAAGGCTATAGTAACAAAAACAGCATGGTGCTGGTACCAAAACAGATATATAAACCAATGGGACAGAACAGAGGCCTCAGAAATAATGCCACGCATCTACATCTAAAAACGTCTGATCTTTGACAAACCTGACAAAAACAAGCAAGAGAAAAGAATTCCCTATTTAATAAATGATGTTGGGAAAACTGGCTAGTCATATGCAGAAAGCTGAAACTGGATCCCTTTCTTACACCTCATACAAAAATTAACTCAAGATAGATTAAAGACTTAAATGTAAGACCTAAAACCAGAAAAACCTTAGAAGAAAACCTAGGCAATATCATTCAGGACATAGGCATGGGCAAAGTCTTCATGTATAAAACACCAAAACAAAAAAAAAAATGGCAAGAAAAGCCAAAATAGACAAATGTGATCTGATTTAACTAAAGAGCTTCTGAATAACAAAAGAAAGTATCATCAGAGTGAACAGGCAACCTACAGAATGGGAGAAAAATTTTGCAATATATCCATTTGACAGATGGCTAATATCCAGAATCTACAAATAAACAAATTTACAAGAAAAAAACAACCCCGGCCAGGCGCAGTGGCTCACGCCTGTAATCCCAGCACTTTGGGAGGCTGAGGCGGGTGGATCACGAGGTCAGGAGGTCGAGACTATCCTGACTAACACAGTGAAACCCCGTCTCTACTAAAAATACAAAAAAATTAGCCGGGCATGGTGGTGGGCACCTGCAGTCCCAGCTACTCAGGAGGCTGAGACAGGAGAATGGCATGAACCCGGGAGGCAGAGTTTGCAGTGAGCCAAGATCACACCACTGCACTCCAGCCTGGGTGACAGAGTGAGACTCTGTCTCAAAAAAAAGGAAAAGAAAAAAAAAACCATCAAAAAGTGGGTGAATGATATGAACAGACACTTCTCAAAAGAAGACATTTATGCAGCCAACAAACATATGAAAAAAAGCTCATCATCACTGGTCATTAGAGAAAAGCAAACCAAAACCACAATGAGATACCATCTCATACCAGTTAGAATGGTGATCATTAAAAAGTTGGGAAACAACAGATGCTGGAGAGGATGTGGAGAAATAGGAAAGTTTTTACACTGTTGGTGGGAATGTAAATTAGTTCAACCATTGTGGAAGACAGTGTGGCAATTCCTCACGGATCTAGAGCTAGAAATACCATTTGACCCAGTGGTCCCATTATTGGGTATATACCCAAAGGATTATAAATCATTCTACTATAAATATACATGCACACATATGTTTATTGCAGCACTATTCTCAACAGCAAAGGCTTGGAACCAACCCAAATGCCCACCAATATTAGACTGGATAAAGAAAATGTGGCACATATATACTACGCAGCATAAAAAAGGATGAGTTCATGTCCTTTTTAGGGACATGGATGAAGCTGGAAACCATCATTCTGAGCAAATTAACACAAGGACAGAAAACCACACACTGCATGTTCTCACTCATAACTGGGAGTTGAACAATGAGAACACATGGACACAGGGAGGGGAACACCACACACTGGGGCTTGTCAGTGGGTGGGGGGCTAGGGGAGGGATAGCATTAGTAGAAATACCTAATGTAAATTATGGGGTGATGGGTTCAGCAAACCACCATGGAACATGTATACCTATGTAACAAACCTGCACGTTCTGCACATGAAGCCCAGGACTTAAGGTATAATAATAGCAAAAAAAAAAAAAACAAGAAAGTGGAAAAAAATCATCTGGTCCATTTGGCTCCAAGAACAAAAAAGGAAAAGAAAAGAAGAAGGGAAGATTATTTCCCAATAGAATAATGGTTTTTGTGTATATGTCATAAGTATGTGAGGTAATGCATATGTTTAATAGCTTGATTTAAACTTTCCACACTATAGGGATATATCAAAACTTTGGCTCTACAACATAAATACACTATAAATTTTTTACTTGTCGGTTAAAAAAGTAAACCTAACATTTACAAAGGCAATGCATAAAAACTGAGAAGAGACTGTAACAACTGAAAGAAACTTGGCCAACATGAGATTTTTTTTTTTTTTTTTTTTTTTTGAGATGGAGTCTTGCTCTGTCGCCCGGGCTGGAGTGCAGTGGCGCGATCTTGGCTCACTGCAAGCTGTACCTCTTGGGTTCACACCATTCTCCTGCCTCAGCCTCCCGAGTAGCTGGGACTGCAGGCGCCCACCACCATGCCCAGCTAATTTTTTTGTATTTTTGGTAAAGACGGGGTTTCACCGTGTTAGCCAGGATGGTCTCGATCTCCTGACCTCATGATCCACCCGCCTCGGCCTCCCAAAGTGCTGAGATTACAGGCATGAGCCACTGCATCTGGCCCAGAACTCTTTCTTAATCCCATCTACAATATTGTGTATCTATTACTGTAAATTAGTATATGGTTTTTCATTCCAGAGACTTCAGTAATATAGTATTACCAAAGGACTTGTACAGATTTCAGAGAAAGACAAATTTAGAAGATGGAGGGTTCTCCATTGTGTTCTGAGAGTCAGTATCAAATATGTCAAAACTAAAAAGTACATAATCAATGCAGAAGTCTATTTCAAAGTAATAATCATTTGAGCATAATTTCTCTACTGTCAGAGACAACTTATTTTCAAATTCAATATTTATTTATGCATATTTTATTATTAGTTATATGTTACTTGTACATACACATCAGTACAAGTACTTATAAATCCTATAAGAACATAAATCCTATAGGAATATATTAAGCTAATAATTATGTCTGTTCTGTTTGATCCCAGAGTTGCAACAAATAGGCCTTGTTCCCTAAGTTGAGGAGATGATTTGTCTTATTTTATATGAGACTTGTGGTATGGAACTAAAATGTGTGGGATGAATATTTGAATGAAGATGCTTCTGCTGTGAACAGCAGGAAATCCCATCTAGTGGGCTTTATTTTTCTTTAACCCATGATCTCACATAGGCAATAGATACAAGGGTGGGCGTCTCCAGGGTTGCTCAACTCAGCAAGCCAGTGGCATCAACAGCGATCCTGGAACTTCATAACTCATCTCTCTATCATACACAGCATGTCAGCTTTCCTGCAATGGTCGGAGGATCCCTGCAGCCGCTTTAGGTTTCTTATTCTTTCACAAAACTACCAAAGAAAGGAAAAAGATACTACTTTTTCCTGTGTGCCTTTATAAGGAGCAACTACACCGTTTCCAGAGTATTCACAGTACCCACTTTCTCATTGGAATGACCGTGGGATCACACGGGCTCAGACAAGCCAGGATTCAACCCTTGTAGAGTGGGCCTGATGCACATGGGGAGAAAAGGAGCAAAATCATATATTTTTAAAAATAAAGAAATGGTGGATGGAGTAGGAGAGGTTGATTTCAGGGTAGGGAAATGATAGATTGTGGTACTCTTAGGTTGCTAGAATTTGCAGTTAAATTCCACATGAAGGCCTAGAGATTCCTGATAGGCATCCTCCATTCAGCGTTTCAGGTCTTTTTTAATACATATGTATCGAGCATTAAATGTCTGCCATTAACTCAATTAGAATAAAACAAAAAAGCAGGAAAAAGGATTGATTTTAGAACTCAATTAAGTATGCTGACATGTTGTTTTAACGGGGGAATTTTTGAAAAAGGTAGAATAAGGAATGACTAGCTCTATAAGGTGCTAAAACATACTATACATTTATTTTAAAAAACACATTTGTTGGCCTGGCGCAGTGGCTCATGCCTGTAATCCCAGCACTTTGGGAGGCCGAGGCGGGCAGATCACGAGACCATCCTGGCTAACACGGTGAAACCACGTCTGTACTAAAAATAAAAAAAAATTAGCCGGGCATCGTGGCGGGCACCTGTAGTCCCAGCTACTCCAGAGGCTGAGGTGGGAGAATGGCGTGAACCTGGGAGGTGGAGCTTGCAGTGAGCCGAGATCTCACCACTGCACACCAGCCTGGGCGACAGAGCGAGACTCCATCTCAAAAACAAAAAAAATATATTTGTTACTGATTCTTTATTTTTTGTTAAATATGCTAGTAAAACAGAGTCTAGAATTAGAACCAGAAGGAGTTGAGATTTAGTTTCAGTTTGTGGTAAGTTGTATTCCAAAGTCATTTCTTTCACCAAATGGATCCTGGATGAATAAAAATTGAAACATCAAGAGAAAATATAAAATTAACAAGACAGATGTTATTTCTAATACTATCATCATCATTATAATTATGTTTGATGACAAACAGACTTTCTAAGCCCTTATGTGTTGCTGGTGGGAGTGTATGATTTTACAAATACCTGGAAATTTGGCAATTTCTTTAAAAGTTTAACATATGTTTGCCATATGACCCAGCAATTTCACTCCTTGGAATCTACCTAAGAGACATAAAAACGTATGTCCTCACGAAGTTACACATTCAAGTGTTCAGAACAGCGTTAGCCATAGTAGGTCTAAACTGAAAACAATCCAAATATCCTTCAACTAGTAAATGGATAAACAAAATGGATAAACTACATTCATGCAAGGCAATATCATTCAACAGTAAAAGGGAACAAAACGAGACTCATCTGGCAGGGGAGATACCATAAACATGAGGGTAATTTTCCCAAGGCAAGTTTCAACCCTTGCACTCCAGGTGATGAGAGATTGCTTAACGGGTACAATGCATGTGATTTAGGTGATGGATACTGTGGAACACTGACTTCACATACTATGCAATCTATGCATGTAATAAAACTACACTTGGACTTTATAAATTTACACAAATAAAAAAGAGAAAATAAAAAGAAAAGGGACAAAATGAAGATACATACTACAAAACTGATGAACTTAAATAATGTTAACTAAGTGAAGGAAACTGGACACAAAAGGTTACATAATGTATCATTTCATTTACTTGAAATATGTAAAAGAGGTAAATTGATTGACGCAAAAAGCAGATCACTGGGTGCCTATGGCTTGGGGTATCGGTGGGAATTAACTATAAATAGAGAAATTTTGGACATAACAGAAATGTTTAAAAAAAGCTGGATTGTTGTGATAATTGCACAAATCTATTTACTTACTAAAATCATTAAATTTTACATATAGAATGAATGAATCTCATAGCATGTAAATTAAGCCTTAGGAATCCTGTTAAAATAATTCTTTTTTAAAAAATAAGACTTTGCAAGCAAGACAAAATCCAGAAGACACAAATGAAAAAATATTTGAAGAAAATTACTGACTTCTTTGCATGAAGAAAATAACAAAATTAAAAGAAGTATATGAAGCTCAGGAAAAATTTTGATCACATAAGGCAGAAAATGGGCTTTCTTATGAAAAATTGTCAACTAATCAATAAATTAATTAATGGAAATGCCACGGAAAATTGGGCAAAGGATATAGATTGACTATAGAATCTCTTCTATAGTCAATATTGGAATCTCTTCCAATAGTCAATAAATATTTGCTCAAACTCACCAACGAATGGAAAAATCCAAATTCAAATAGCAATTTCTCCCCCTGAAAACTGGAAAATACAACAGTTTGTTTTAAAATCAAGGATTTAGAAGATTCTATGGGAATAGATTCTCCTATATTATTAGGATTGTGGGTGGATGGCAGTGTACTATTAAAACTCAAAATGCAATTGTTACGTGCTTGATGAAAACAACAAAAATCCCATTCTAAACATCTGTCTTAAGGAAACAATCCTACATGAGCCCAAAGAAATATAAAATTGGTCGTTTTGAGCCATGGTTTGCAATAACAAAAACATTGCCAAATTCTAAAAGAAAAACTGATTAATTTGTCTTGATTATAAAACTTTTGCACATCATAAAAACTATGCAGCATGTGAAGTGACAGCACACTGCAGGATGACATTTGGTGCTGTGTGTGGCACTGTTAGCATATATAGGTGTAACCCTGTGAGTAGTTGGGATAATACAGTATTACCACTCTAGGTTTTTACAGTCTCGGTACATTTTTCCTTGTACCTCCATGATGACATATAAAAAATGTAACAGGAGAGAAAAGAAACATTCTCAATATTTAGAAGAAAGGTAAATTGTGGGCCCGGCGCAGTGGCTCACGCCTGTAATCCCAGCACTTTGGGAGGCCGAGGCAGGTGGATCACGAGGTCAGGAGATCGAGACCACGGTGAAACCCCGTCTCCACTAAAAATACAAAAGTTAGCCGGGCGCGGTGGCGGGCGCCCGTAGTCCCAGGTACTCGGGAGGCGGAGGCAGGAGAATGGCGTGAATCCGGGAAGCGGAGCTTGCAGTGAGCGAGATCGCGCCACTGCATTCCAGCCTGGGCAACAGACGGAGACTCCGTCTCAAAAAAAAAAAAGAAGGGTAAATTGTGGTATAGACATAGAAAGGAATAATATACAGGGCTTTAAGTAAATTATGTAGGACTATCAACATGAATTGGAAAAAAATCATAAAACATAATGCCAATTAGGAGGTAGAAAATTACAAGAATTGTCACTGTTACTACAAGAACAAAAAAAAATAGACTAGACTAAATGGATAAACTGCAAAATAATCTTATTTTTAAAATTTTAATGAACCATAGATCAAAAAGTATAAAAATTCCAAATTCCGGAGATGAACAAACTCCACTTAGGTGAGCCAAGGACAAATGTCCACTCTTATTCTTTGGTCCTTCTATGGAATCTTTACATGGGGGGAAGATTGAGCCTGGCTGAGAAAGGGAGATAGCGACTGAGGACAAAGCAGCTGAGTTGTAAATAGCCCTGTGAGCTGGTGTGCTGCATTACAATCTATAGAGGCCCCCTGAATAATATATATCTACTTTACCCTGCCAGCTGAGTCTCCTTCCAGAACTTTTTCTGACTTCATGCTGGTGGTGTGGGAACTAGGGAGGACGATAGAAGACAACACACATCTCTAGCTTCGTGCAAACAAAGATCACGAAGGAAATCAAGATAGGAACAATGCTTTCAACCATCTTGACTTAGCTGGCATTTATAATTGACATATATACTGACATCTGAGAACTACAGAATGTTTATTTATTTACATTGCACAAAGATTATCCATGAAATAGAACAAATACTATGACTATAAAAGTAGTCTCAATTACTTTCACAAGAATAAAATCATACAGAGTATATTATCTGAACAGTCTTGTCAAATTACAAATAAATAAGATGAAGAACATTGCCCAAATTTTTGGAAGTAAAATAATACGTTTCTAAATAATCTATGGTTTGTCAAATAAAATCAGAAGGAAAATTAGAAGATAATTTTAAATAAAATAATACTAAAATGAATATTTAAAATTTTTGTTATGCAACCAAGGCAGTCCTTAGAAAAAAATATTGTTTAAAATTCTTGTATTATAAAAGGATACAACGTTGGAGGTTACATTTCAACATGAGATTTGGATAGGACAAACATCCAAACTGTATCAATAACATAATTGGTTTAATGTATAGTGACTTTGTATCCAGCAATCTTATTTATATTTATTTATTAAATCTGTGAGTTTGTCTATTATTTTTATTTTCTAAGTACCCGATTAGGTCAACAGTAAATAATGACAATTTTACCTGGATGCAATTATTATCTCTTTCATATATTTTTCTTGCCATTTTCATTGTCTGACTCCTCTACTATTCCAGATATGAAAGAGAGAGTTTTGCATATATTTCACTGCTAAGACTAATGTGTGCAATAGGTTAGCAATCATTTCTCAGATTGAAGAAATACCTTTTAAATACAAGTTTGCAAGCAGGTTTTTGTTTTTATTTTTATTTTTGTTTTTGAGACGGAGCTTTGCTCTTGTTGCCCAGGCTGGAGTGCAGTGGCATGATCTCAGCTCACTGCAACCTCTGCCTCCCAGGTTCAAGCGATTCTCTTGTCTCAGCCTCCTGAGTACCTGGGACTACAGGCACTCGCCACCACGCCCGGCTAATTTTGTATATTTACTAGAGACAGGGTTTCTCCTTTTGGTCAGGCTGGTCTTGAACTCCCGACCTGAGGTGATCCACCCAACTCAGCTGCCCAAAGTGCTGGGATTACAGGCATGAGCCACAGCGCCCGGCCAGATTTTTAAAAAATTAAGGCCAAGCGCTGAATTCTGTCAAATCATATTTCATGACTCTGCAGGTGGTTGCATGTGTATTCTCCTTCCTTCAGTTAATGTAGTGAATCACACTAATTGAGTCTCAAATGCTCAAACAACCTTGCATTTCTGGAATAAATTCCACTTGGTCATGATTTGGTAGCTATCTTTTGTATCACTGAATTCAGGTGGCTAATATTTTCTTAAGAACTTGGCTCATAAGAGTTATTGGTCCACAAATTCCTATTTGTTGTAGAGTTCTTTTCAGGTCTTGAAGTAAAGTTTACACAGATCTCATTAAATGTAACTGCAAGTATTTTTCCTTTTTTCAAATATGTTTGAAGTTTGTGTAAAGTTAGTGTTGTTTGTTCCTTAAATAGTTTAAAATAGTTACTGAAACTGGATGAGCCTGCGGTTTTGTCTTGGGAAAACTTTATGGAATGGGCTTACTTTCTCTATAAGATGTGGAACTCTTCATATTTTATGTTATTTGTCAGCTTCAGTACATTGTACATTTTGAGTAATTTATTCATTACATGCAAATTTATTTTGCAAAGTTATTCATATTATTATTATTTCATGCTGATAAATCTCTAGGACTATAACAAAAGATATGAAATTTGTGTCATTGGAGTCTTAGAGGGAGATGACAAATGGGTGATGCCCAAAGAATATTTGAAGGAAGACTATTTTCCAAATTTGGACAAAGACTTAAATGTAAAAATTCAAGAATCTGTGCAAACCCAAACGAAGATAAATCCAAAGAAATTTAGATAAAAAAACCTTTTTTTTTTTTTTTTTTTTTTTTTGAGACGGAGTCTCGCTCTGTCGCCCAGGCTGGAGTGCAGTGCTGCGATCTCAGCTCTGCCTCCTGGGCTCATGCCATTCTCCTGCCTCAGCCTCCCCCAAAAAAACTCTTGAAAGCAACAAGAGAGAAATGACCTAAATAAATCAAATAACAGCAGATTGCTCATTAGAAATCATGCAGACCAGTCAGAAGTGGCACAAGTTATTTTAATGGCTGAAAGTAATGTTAACCTAGAATGTATAACCAGAAAAATATTATTATAAAATGAAGGTTCTATCATGGCATTCTTTGTTTTTGTTTTTTTTTTTGTTTATAGATGGACTCTTGCTCTTTCATCCAGGCTTGAGGGCAGTGGCACGACCACAGCTCAGTGCAGCCTCTGCCTCCCAGGCTCATGTGATCCTCACACCTCAGCCTCCTGAGTAGCTTGGATTACAGACACGCGCCACCACGCCTGGCTAATTTTTGTATTTTTGGCCAAGACAGGGTTTGCTCATGTAGCCCAGGCTGGTCTGGAACTCTTGAGCTCACGGGATCCACCTGCATTGGCCTCTCAAAGTGCTGGGATTACAGGCATGAGCCACCACGCCAAACCATGACATTCTTAGAGGAAGGAAAATCAAGAGAATTTGATGCTAGCAGACTTATCCTAAAACAAGAGCTAAAGGAAATGCACTGGAATAGAAATGATAATGGAAGAAATCCTGGACGATCAGGAAAAAAATAAACAATAGAATGATTGAAAATATGGGTTGAGACAACAGACTTTTCCTCAGTTTTGTAAATTAATTTGATGGTTGAGGCAAAAATCACAACATTGTCAGATGTGGTTTTTGATGCAAGTATAGAAAATAAAAAATGTGTATTATAAATGCAGGAATGGAAAGGGATACAAAGGAAGTAAAGTTTCTACACTTTAGTCAAATTGACAAAATGTCAGCACCAGTAGACTATGATAAGTTATGTTAATAGATAAATCACAAAAACTATATAATGAGATATGCCAAAAAAGATTGATTACAAAATGGAATTCTAAAAATTGCTTAAGGAACACATCAAAAAACAGGAAAAGCAAACAGAGAAGCTAAAACCAAAGGAAACAAAAAAGAATACAAAAAGCAGATGGCAGTCATAAGAACTCACATATTAATAATTGCATTACATGTAAATTGTCTGAAAAGACAAACGTCAGAGTGAAAAATAATGAACCACAGATATACTACCTACTGTGTCCAGAGTTTGTTCCTTCCAGTGGGTTCGTGGTCTCACTGACTTCAACAATGGGGTTTGTGGTCTCACTGACTTCAAGAATGAAGTCGCGGACCTTCATAGTGAGCGTTATAGCTCTTAAAGTTGGCACAGACCCAAAGAGTGAGCAGCAGCAAGATTTACTGTGAAGAGCAAAAGAACAAAGCTTCCACAGTGCAGGAAGGGACCGGAGCAGCTTTCTGCTGCTGGCTGGGGTGGCCAGCTTGTATTCCCTTACTTGCCCCCACCCATGTCCTGCCGATTGGTCCATTTTACAGAGTACTGACTGGTCCATTTTACAGAGTGCTGACTGGTCCATTTTACAGAGTGCTGACTGGTCCATTTTATACACTTCTAGCAAGCCACAGAGCACTGATTGGTGTGTTTTTACAGAGCACTGATTGGTGCATTTTACAAACCTCTAGCTAGCCACAGAAAAGTTCTTCAAGTCCCCACCCAACCCAGAAGTCCAACTGGCTTCACTTCTCACTACTAGAAACTTACTGCAAATATTACAAGAGTGGAAGGTTGAAATAGAAGAACGGAAAAAAATAAACCATACATTTGTCAAAGAAAGCAGAAATGGCTATAATATCAGATAACATAAAATACACAGAGCAATGAATATTCTAAGAGATAAACAGAAACACTAAAGATAAAAACGTTAATTCAGAACGAAGACATAGCAACTCGAAATGTGTATGCATCAGAAAACTGAGTTACAAATAAGTAGAGCAAAAATGGTCAGAACTGGAAGGAGAAATAGACAAATACACAATTAAACTTTGAGACTTCACAAACCATCTCTGAAATATTAATAAAACAACTGTACAAAAACTCAGCCAGATAATGAAACCCAACAAAACTATCCACCAATAAGATCTAATAGACATTTACAGACCACCACACCAAACAGAAGAATACACATTTTTAACTGTCCATGGAATATTTACCAATGTAGATCAAACCCTGGACCATAATAAAAACCTCAACAAATGTGAAAGAATTGAAATCATACAGACTGTGTTCTCTGGAAGCAATGGAGTTGAACCAGAAATCAATAACGTGAAGAAAATCGGTACAACTCCAAACACATGGAAACTAAATAACATACTTTTAAATTACCTGTGGATCAAAAAAGATGTCTTAAGGAAAATAAAAAATGTATTCAACTAAGTGAAAATGAAAATATAACATATCAAAATCTTTGGTCATTAGCTAAAGCAGTGCTTTGAAAAACTATTTATAGTACAAAATGTACACACTGAAAAAGAGAAAAGGTCAGAAACCAATAATCTCAGTTCCCACCTCAAGAATCTAAAAAAGCAGTCCAAAATAACCTAAAGCAAGAAGGGAAAAAAAGAATATGAGGGTAGAACTCTGGGGCTCACACTTGTAATCCCAGCATTTTGAGAGGCCAAGGCAGGCGGATCACTTGAGATCGGGATTTCCAGACCAACCTGACCAACATAGGGAAACGCCTATGCCAATTCATTTTGACAAAGAATCATAATAATTCAATGGAGGTAATATAGTCTATAGTCTTTTCAAAATACGGTCCAGGAGAAAGTGGAAATCCATAGACAAAAACAAAACCAAACAAAATAAAAAAGGAAGCAGAGGAAAAAGATGCAAGAAAGAAACGTAACAAATTCTCACATCTCATGAAAACATTTACCCCCAATTAAATCATGTCTACACGTTAAAGGTTTCGAAAAACATATGAGAAAATCGTCAGGAGCTAGGGCCTGGTGTCTGAGTTCTGAGTTTGTAGACATGACACCAAAACTCTGTGTGTAAAAAACAAAAACGCAGGCCGGGCAAAAAATTAGCCGGGCATAGTAGCGGACACCTGTAGTCCCATCTACATGGGAGGCTGAGGCAGGAGAATGGCATGAACCCGGGAGGTGGAGCTTGCAGTGAGCCAAGATTGTGCCACTGCATTCCAGCCTGGGCTACAGAGCAAGACTGTCTTGGAAAAAAACAAAAACAAAAACAAAAAAACACACAAATACAAAAAACAAACAAAATCAATAGATGGGGCTTTATCAAAATTTAAAACTGTTTTTCTGTAAGGTATCCTGCTAAGAAATGAAAAGTAAGCTAAAGACATGGAGAAAATATTTAAAACCACATATATTACCAAAAATACATTATCTAGAATATATAATCAACTATAAAAGCTTTACTATAAAATCTATAGAGTGCAGACTATGAAATTTAATTACAAAATGGGCAAAAGATATGAAGACACATTTTATCACAGAAGATATGTGTATATGGCAAATAAGCACAATGAATGACATGCAAATCACTAGCCATCAGGGAAATGCAAATTAAGAACTTGATGTAATAGCACTACACACCTCTTTTTTTTTTTTTTTTTTTTTTTTTTTTTTTAAGACAGAGTCTCCCTCTGTCGCCCAGGCTGGAGTGCAGTAGCGTGATCTCGGCCCACTGCAAGCTCCGCCTCCTGGGTTCATGCCATTCTCCTGCCTCAGCCTCAGGAATAGCTCAGACTACAGGTGCCCGTCACCACGCCCAGCTAATTTTTTGTATTGTTAATAGAGACGGGGTTTCACCATGTTAGCCAGGATGGTCTCCATCTCCTGACCTCATGATCCGCTTGCCTTGGCCTCCCAAAGTGCTGGGATTAAGGCGTGAGCCACCGCCCCTGGCCCCCCACACCTCTTAATACAGCTAAATTTTTTTAAAAAACAATGGTAAATGCTAGTGAGAATGCAGAAAAACTGGATTTCACGCACATTGATAGTGAGAATGTAAAATGGCACAGTCTTTCTAGAAAATAGTTTGGCAGTGTCTTGAAGAACTAGACATATATTTGCCATATGAGCCAAGAATTACATTCTGGGACATTTATATCAGAGAAATAAAAACACATGTTCACACAAAAATCTTGTGCAAATGTTCACATTCACAACAGCTTTATTTGTAATAGCCCCCAAACTAGAAACAGCCAAAATGTCCCTCAAAAGGCAAATAGTTAAACTTCAGTGGCTCCATCTAATGAAGTATTCCTTAGCAATAAAAAAGAGCAAATTGTTGATACATGCAACAACTTGGATGGATCTCAAGGACATTATGCTGAAGGGAAAATGCCAGTCACAAAAACCACATACTGTGTGATTCTATTTATGTAACATTTTCAAAATGACACTATTCTAGAGATTGGTGGAGAACAGATTAGTGGTTGTCAGTTGTCAGGGTGACAGTGTGTAAGGAGTAGGGCATGACTCTAAAGGGCAGCATGGTGGGAGATCTCTGTGGGATGGAATAGCTCTCCATTGGATTGTGTGGTGGTTACATAAATCTGCAAATATGATAAGACACAGGCATAGAACAATGGACACATATTATACCAAAGTCAGTTTCCTGGTTTTGCTACTGTGCTAGTGTGTCTGGAATTGGTTCCTTCCGGTGGGTTCTTGGTCTCGCTGACTTCAAGAATGAAGCCACAGACCCTTGCAGTGAGTGTTACAGTTCTTAAAGATGGTGTGTCCGGAGTTTGTTCCTTCCCCATGTTCAGATGTGTCCAGAGTTTCTTCCTTCTGGTGGGTTCGTGGTCTCGCCGACTTCAGGAGTGAAGCTGCAGACCTTCGCAGTGAGTGTTACAGCTCTTAAAGGTGGTGTGTCCAGAGCTGTTTGTTCCTCCTGGTGGGTTCATGGTCTCACTGACTTCAAGAATGAAGCCGCAGACTCTTGCGGTGAGTGTTACAGCTCATAAAGGTAGTGCGGACCCAAAGAGTGAGCAGCAGCAAGATTTATTGTGAAGAGCAAAAGAACAAAGCTTCCACAGCATGGAAGGGGACCGGAGTGGGTTGCCGCTGCTGGCTGGGGTGGCCAGTTTTTATTTCCTCATTTGGCCTCACCCACGTCCTGCTGATTGGTCCATTTTACAGAGTGCTGATTGGTCCATTTTTACAGAGTGCTGATTGGTGTGTTTACAAACCTTTAGCTAGACACAGAGCACTGATTGGTGCATTTTTACAGAGTGCTGATTGGTGCATGTACAAACATTTAGCTAGACACAGAGCACTGATTGGTGCATTTTTACAGAGTGCTGATTGGTGAGTCTGGGTGCCTAAAGAAGGGAATAAAAGTTGGCCACCTGAGTCAGCAGTGGCAACCCGCTTGGGTCCCCTTCCATGCTGTGGAAGCTTTGTTCTTTTGCTCTTCACAATAAATCTTGCTGCTGCTCACTCTTTGGGTCCACACTACTTTTATGAGCTGTAAAACTCACCACGAAGGTCTACAGCTTCATTCCTGAAGTCAGTGAGATCACGTACCCACCAGGAGGAACAAACAACTCTGGACGCTCCACCTTCAAGAGCTGTAACACTCACTGCAAAGGTCTGTGGCTTCACTCCTGAAGTCAGCAAGACCACGAACCCACCAGAAGGAAGAAACTCTGGACATATCTGAACAGTGGGAAGGAACAAACTCCGGACACACCGCGAGGGTCCATGGCCTCATTTTTGAAGTCAGCAAGACCAAGAACCCACCAGAAGGAACCAATTCTGGATACATTTTGGCAACCATGAAAGGACACATTTGGTGACCCAGATGGGACCATCGATTATCACCAAGTGGTGAGTACCATCAGACCCCTCTTGCTTGGTTTTCTGTGCTATTTTTCCTTGGAATTCGGGGGCTAAATACCAGGCACCTGTCAGCCAGTTAAAAGCAACGAGTGTGGCTGCTGGACTAAAGACACCGGTGACAGGCTTTCTGGGAAAGGGCTCTGTAACAACCCCCAACTCTTCGGAGTTGGGAGCGTTGGTTTGCCTGGAACCAGCTTCTGCTTTTACTGTACTTCCTGACTGAGCTGAGGGTTGACAGGGAGGAAAGCCATTCAGCTCCGGGGTTCCCGACAAAAAGTTGGTTGACCCTGCGGCCATGAGCGGAGCTCTCAAAGTCATGTCACCCAAGCAAGACTCGCCCATGTATCCTATCTATCCTGACCCTTGTCTCCTGGGTCCTAACGCCTGTCCAACAAACTTCCTCTTGCCTCTCTTCTCCGAGGCTAGTCTTGCTTCTAAAAACCACTCCCTGTCTCTGGTGCTTTTCTAGTTTCTCCTATAGGAATGATTTCTAGTATAAACTCCAGGACTCTATTCCCTTCTTTAGGCACCCGGACTCACCAATCAGAAAGATGTAATTTTTGCCCAAAGCCCCGTCAAGGAGGGGACTCTCTGGAATTTTAGGATCCCTCCTCAGACTAGCAGACCTAACAAAAGCTATTCCTGAAGCTAGGATATGGGGAACTTCAGAAATAGTATCTTTCCTATTCATATAATTGAGGACAAAAGGCATCACTCATCCAACTCTGGAGATCCTTTCCCTCCCTCAGGGTATGGCCCTCCATTTCATTTTTGGGGCATAACATCTTTATAGGACAGTGGTAAGATCCCAATACTAACGGGAGAATGCTTAGGACTCTAGCAGGTTTTCGAGAATGCGTCAGAAAGGGCCACTAAATCCGACCTTCCTCAGTCCTCCTTGTGGTCTAGGAGGAAAACTAGTGTTTCTGCTGCTGCATTGGTGAGCACAACTATTCTGATCAGCAGGGTCCAGGGACAATTTTGGGTTCTTGGGCAAGAGGTGTTTCTGCTGCTGTGTTGGTGAGCACAACTATTCCAATCAGCAAGGTCCAGGGACTGTTGCAGGTTCTTGGGGAGGGGGAGAAACAAACAAACCAAAACCGCGGGTGGTTTTGTCTTTCAGATGGGAAACACTCAGGCATCAACAGGCTCACCCTTGAAATACATCCTAAGCCATTAGACCAATTTGACCTTCAAACCCTGAAAAAGAGGTGGCTCATTTTTTTCTGCACTATGGCTTGGCCCCAATGTTCTCTCTCTGATGGGGAAAAATGGCCACCTGAGGGAAGTATAAATTACAATACTATCCTGCAGCTTGACATTTTCTGTAAGAGGGAAGGTAAATTGAGTGAAATACCTTATGTCCAACCTTTCTTTTCATTGAAGGAAAATACACAACTATGCAAAGATTGCAATTTACATCCCACAGAGGACCTCTCAGCTTACCACCATATCCTAGCCTCCCTATAGCTCACCTTCCTATTAATAAGCTTTTTCCAATCTCCCCCACCCATAAGGAAACAAGCAAATAAATCTCCAAGGGACCACAAAACCTCCCTGACTATCAGTTATGTCCCCTTCAAGCTTTAGGGGGAGGGGAATTTGGCCCAACCCAGGTACATGTTCCCTTCTCCCTCTCTGATTTAAAGCAGATCAAGGCAGACCCAGGGAAGTTTTCAGATGATCCTGATAGGTACATAGATGTCCTACAGGGTCTAGGGCAAACCCTCGATCTCACTTGGAGAAATGTCATGCTATTGTTAGATCAAACCATGGCATTTAATGAAAAGAATGTGGCTTTAGCTGCAGCCCTAGAGTTTGGAGATACCTGGTATCTTAGTCAAGTAAATGACAGAATGACAGCTGAAGAAATGGACAAATTCCCTACTGGTCAGCAAGCCTTCCCCAGTATGGATCCCCACTGGGATCTAGACTCAGATCATGAGGACTGGAATTGTAAACATCCATTGACCTGTGTTCTAGAAGGACTAAGGAGAATTAGGAAAAAGCCCATGAATTATTCAATGATGTCCACCATAACTCAAGGAAAGGAAGAAAATCCTTCTGCCTTCTTCAAATGGCTATGGCAGGCCTTAAGAAAATATACTTTCCTGCCACTCGGCTCACTAGAGGGTCACTTGATCCTAAAAGATAAGTTTATTACCCAATCAGCCACAGATATCAGAAGAAAGCCCCGAAAGCGAGCCCTGGGCCCTGAACAAAATCTGGAGGCATTATTAAACCTGGCAACCTCGGTGTTCTATAATAGGGATCAAGAGGAACAGGCCCAAAAGGAATGGCGAGATCAGAGAAAGGCCTCAGCCTTAGTCATGGCCCTCAGACAAATACACCTTGGTGGTTCAGAAAGGACAGAAAATGGAGCACGCCAGTCACCCAGTAGGGCTTGTTATCAGTGTGGTTTACAAGGACACTTTAAAAAAGATTGTCCAATGAGAAACAAGCTGCCCCCTCACCCATGTCCACTATGCCGAGGCAATCACTGGAAGGCGCACTGCCCCAGAGGACAAAGGTTCTCTGGACCAGAAGCTCCCAACCAGATGATCCAACAACAGGACTGAGGGTGCCCGGGGCAAGCGCCAGCTCATTTCCTCACCCTCACTGAGCCCAGGGTACGTTTAACCATTGAGGGCCAGGAAATTGACTTCCTCCTGGACGCCGGCATGGCTTTCTCAGTGTTAATCTCCGGTCCCGGACAGCTGTCCCCAAGGTCTGTTACCATCCAAAGAATCCCGGGACAGCCTGTAACCAGGTATTTCTCCCACTTCCTCAGCTGTAATTGGGAGACTTTGCTCTTTTCACATGCCTTTCTTGTTATGCCTGAAAGTCCCATACCTTTTTTAGGGAGGGACGTATTAGCCAAAGCTGGAGACATTATCTACATAAATATGGGGAAAAAGTTATCCATTTGTTGTTCCCTGATTGAGGAGGGAATCAACTCTGAAGTCTGGGCATTGGAAGGAACGAACTCAAGCTCCAGCCTTAAGCCTTCCCACAGGAAAAGGCTTCTGAAATCAGACAATGCCTTTCAAACTCTTATACCAACCTCTGGAGTTGGGCAACATGGCTTCTCCCCTTTCTAGGTCCCGTGGCAGCCATCTTGCTATTACTCGCCTTCGGGCCCTGTATTTTTAACCTCCTTGTCAAATTTGTTTCCTCTAGAATCGAGGCCATCAAGCTACAGATGGTCTTACAAATAGAACCCAAAATGAGCTCAACTAACAACTTCTACCAAGGACCCCACCTGACCCAGAAGCCCAGCCGGCTTCACCTCTCACTAGAGCTACTTAAAATATAAACATTTGGAAAATCTGGGTGAAAGGGCACACATATGTTCTCTGTTCTGTCTTTGCAATTTCTTGTGACTCTATAATGATTTCAAAGTAAAACGTTTTTAAAAAGCATTTTTTATTTTCTGGCTGAAATCCAAAACCCTCACAGAACCAAATGCTGGCAAGGATTTAGAAAAACAAGGACTCTGATTCATTGCTGGCGGGAATGCAAAACAGTACAGTCACTTTGAAAGGCTCTCTGGCTGTTTGTTACAAAGCTCAACATACTCTTACTATACAATCCAGCAATGGCACCTCTGAGCAAATGAGTGGAAAACTTATATCCACACAAATACCCATACATGAATGTTTATAGCAGTTTTATTCATAATTGCCAAAAACTTGAAGCCCCCAAGATGTCCACAATAGGTGAATTGATAAAGAAATTGTGATATATCCATACCATGGGGTATTGTTCAACAGTAAAGAGAAATAAGCTATTAAGCTATGAAGACACATGGAACAAACTTATAGGCATATTGCTAAGTGGAAGGAGCCAGGCTGAAAAGCTCTATACTGTAAAAGCACAACTATATGACACTGTGGAAAAGGCAAAAATACAGAGAGTAAATAGACCAGGGTTTCAGGAGGAGCAGAGATGGGTGAATAGGTTGAGCCTCAGGCATAGTTAGGGAAATTACTTTGTATGATGCTTTTGTTACTGAAATACCATGGATTTGTCTAGCTCCTTTTGAGATGGAGTCTTGCACTTTTGCCAGGCTGGAGTGCAGTGCCATGATCTCAGCTCACTGCAACATCCACCTCCCCCATTCAAGCAATTCTCCTGCCTCAGCTTCCCAAGTAGCTGGGATTACAGGCGCACACTGCCACCCCCGGATAATTTTTATATTTTTAGTAGAGATGGGGTTTCACCACATTGGCCTGGATGGTCTCAATCTCTTGACCTCGTGATCTGCCCGACTTGGCATCTCAAAGTGTTGGGATTACAGGAGTGAGCCACCATGCCTGGAAGACACTCTAGCTGTTTCTTACAAAGCTAAACATACTCTGCCATAAGATTCAGCAATTTCAATCCTGAGTATTACCCAAATGAGTGGAAAATTCTGTCCATACAAACAAGTGTATACGAATGTTTATAGAAGCTTTATTCATAATTGCCAAAAATTCAAAGCAACCAAAATGTCCTCCAGTAAGTGAGTGGGTGAACAAATTGTGGTATATCTATATCATGGGTTATCATTTAAAATTAAAGAGAAATAAGCTATCAAGCTATGAACAGACATGGAGAAAACCTATATGCATATTGTTAAGTGAAAGAAGCCAGCTAAAAAAAAACTATATCCCATATGATTACAACTATATAACATTCTGGAAAAGGCAAAAATACATACAGTAAATAGTGGTTTCCAGGGGTTCAGGAGGAAGAAGAATAGATGAATAGGTGGAGCCTGGGACAATTTTAGGTCAGCAAAACTACTTTGTAGGATACTTTTGTTACTGAAACACCAGGGGTTCAGTCTAGGTCTTGCACACAAGGGCTTTGGTCTGGATCTTGCTGCTCACCACACACAAAGCCAACCACTGAGATGACAATGAGCACTGCCAAAGAAGAAGGCTTTAATCTTTAATCAGGTGCTGCAGCTGAGGAGATGGGAGACCAGTGTCAAATCCATCTCTGTGACTGACTACAATTAGGAGTTTATCTAGCAGGGAAGAAATGTAACTATGTATGGGAAAACAGGAACTAGAGAGGGGTAAGGGAACAATCATGATGAATGGGGAACCTGGAGTCTCATTGTTTGGATGAGACGATCTGGTGAGTTCCAGTTCTTTGATACTTTTTAAGAGGCCTGGGGAATCTTTTTTTGCAAAGAAACTCAGATGAGACAAATATAAGTTTAAATTTAAGATCAGAAGTGTCCATTTAAATGCAGATTTAAAAGAAAAACTGTCTATGGGACTCGGGTCAGTTTGACTTTAATGGTGAATATATGATGTTATGTATTGATCAAAACCCATAGAACTGTATAATATGAATGAACCCTAATTCAACTATGGACCTCAGTTAACGTAAGTATCAGTATTGGTTCATCATTTGTAACAAGTGTACCACACTGATGCAGGATGTTAGTAATAGGAGAAACTGAGCAGAGGGCTGTTTTAGGAAAGAAGGGATGTGGGAACTACCTGAAATTTCTCCACAATTTTTCTTTACACCTAAAACTACTTTAAAAAATGGTTTTGTTACGTGGAATGATATGGATTTATTTTTGCTTTTTTATTCCATATTTGTCTGCATTTACTGCATTCTATATTGCTCATCTACTTATCTTATATTGAAATTATAGATATGTTACAAAATATGTACGCCTATTCTATCTGTAATATTCTCAAAATTCTGCTTGGATTCTATAAACCATAGGTAGAGAAACTTGTTATTTATTAGTAAGTGTTACAAGGTTGTGCCTCCTTGGTGTGTGATTGTTTTATTTTATAAAATTCGGCTGTAGAAATTTTGATGAAAACAATGGAAAGTTTAGTTTTTGCAATATTTTATGATCACCAAACATGGTACCTAATTACTTTGCTTACATTTTTCCTTTAATTCTGATAATAATTCAATGTAGTAAAAATTAACAGCAGTATTTTTATGAGGAATCTGAGGCTAAGATAAGTAGGATACAAGTGAAAACATACCTAGTACATGATACAGCCCAGATGAAATCCAAATCTAACTCAATATTTATTTGCAGTCTATCACACTGTCATTGATAATTCACCTTTATGGTTTGTGGTAGGTTCTAGTAACCATTTTAGAAATAAGTATCATCATACTTTTATAGACAAATGAGCAATAGCTCACTGTTTTTCTAATATTTTCTTCTCACCTTAATGACGTGTCCTGCCACTGCTCCCATTACTCAGTTTTTCCACCCAAATACACATGTCCAAATATATAATGGTTTCAGTAATAAGTCAGACTGTTCTCCTGGTAATAAAACAGGCATCCAAGGCTTTTTCTAAAGGAACAGGCAATGTCAATCTGCAGTGTCTAATCTCATTCCTCTTGAAGTCTAGAATGAGCAATGCTGATATGTAAATCTTGTAATATTTGTGGGTCTTCTTCTCATTCTGCTCCACAGTCTACCCTCTATCTCCTCCTCTCCATCTGTCTCACCCATTCTCAGAGGCCAAATCCCGGGGTTTCAGATTCACTCTACTGAAGATACAGACATGTCATTGACCTGCAGGCTCAAGAACCAAAAACTGTTGCTGAACCAATCGCCCAGCAGAGATCTCCCAACAAACAAACCCTACTTTAGCGTTGTCCTGCTGAGGACTAGACCACAGCAATAGAATTGCCTGCACATGCTCAGAAAGAGACCAACCCAATGAGCCTGGATATTTCTGATTAATTCTGTTTCTAAGAAGTGTACAAATCTTCCATTCTTGTCTAACTTGGAAGAAAGAATTCAGCCAAGAGATGCATAGCAACGGTTGAGTAGCAGAGTTTATTGAAGCAAGATAAAGTACATTCCTAGAGAGGAGTGGAAAACAGCTCTGGGATGTTCCAGCTGGAAAAATAGTAGTAGCCGTGTTTATTTAAAGAGACAGTACGCTCTGAAAGAGGAGACAGTGTAAGCTGCTCAAAAGGAGGAGCCAGCAGCAGTCAGTGCTGAAGGAGTCTCTTTATGAGAATCTCACATGATTATTCATGAAGGGGCCTGAGGGGGTGTTACTTGCAAACATGTTTCAGGAAGACTCTTTGGGTGCGCATGCTCTGTCTTGTACTTGCTACTGCACATGTTGCATGCCTCAGTATTAAAAATCTCCACCCAGAGCTGTGTTTTTTACTATTATAGTGAGCAAAAGGCTATTCTAGGTAAGTTATTGGAGGAATGCACCATTTCATCAGTGGAGAAAGTCCCTGCCATGGCTGTTTGTGGCTAAGGCCTGTTAAGTCCCCTCCAGGGCCAGAGGAGCCCAACCACAAGGCCAGATGTAGCCAGTGTAAGCCATTGTCCTTTTTACTACTAGTGTGCAGTGCTGATTATCAGTGGGCAGTGACTCCAGGACTTCTTTTCCCAGGGACTCCCTTGCCTGCTCATTTCTGGCTCTCTGCCTACTCTTAACAATTCCAGAGCTTATATGATACATTCGACATTCAGACAATTCAGGATGAAGGGATCACATAAATCCTCTAGCTCCCTTCACTGCAAATAACCAGTTCAAACACCAGAAAATTCATCCAGGAACCATCAAAATAGTATAGTATTTCGGAAGAATTACTATTTGAAGAAACTTGAAGCAATAAGTAAATGAAAAACGTCCCCATAGAATGTTCAGAAAATTGCACAGTAGAGAAAGAATTCTATGTGGTATATTCCAGAAGCATTTCATGGAGATAATAAAATCATGGGAACAAGTTTTGAAAATGCCCCCATTAACACTATTTCAGTATGTTATTGATAAATAATTACTTTTGTTTGCTGCCTGTAATAGTTCATTCTTACATTGCCATCAGAAAATACCTGAGACTGGGTAATTTATAAAGAAAAAGGGGCCAGGCGTGGTGGCTCACACCTGTAATCCCAGCACTTTGGGAGGCCGAGGTGGGCAGATCACAAGGTCAAGAGATCGAGACCATCCTGGCCAACAAGGTGAAACCCCATCTCTACTAAAAATACAAAAAAAAAAAAAAATTAGCTGGGCGTGGTGGTGCTCATCTGTAGTCCTAGCTACTTGGGAGGCTGAGGCAGGACAGTCGCTTGAACCCACGAGGCAGAGGTTGCAGTGAGCTGAGATCATGCCATCACACTCCAGCCTGGCGACAGATCAAGACTCCATCTCAAAGAAAAAAAATTTCCTTTTTTTTTCTTTTTTTGAGATGGAATCTCGATCTGTCACCAGGCTGGAGTGCAGTGTTGCGAACTTAGCTCAATGCAACCTCTGCCTCCTGGGTTCAAGTGAGTGTCCTGCCTCAGCCTCCCAAGTAACTGGGACTACAGGCGCATGCCACAATGCCTGGTTAATTTTTTTTTTTTTTGAGACTAAGTTTCACTCTTGTTGCCCAGCCTGGAGTGCAATGGCGCAATCTCGGCTCACTGCAACGTTCGCCTCCCTGGTTCAAGCAATTCTCCTGCCTCAGCCTCCCGAGTAGCTGGGAATACAGGCATGCGCCACCATGCCCGGCTGATTTTTGTATTTTTTTAGTAGAGACAGGATTTCTCCATGCTGGTCAGGCTGGTCTCGAACTCCCAACCTCAGGTTATCTGCCCACCTTGGCCTCCCAAAGTGCTGGGATTACAGGTGTGAGCCACCACACCCAGCCCCAGCTAATTTTTGTATTTTTAGTAGAGACAGGGTTTCACCGTGTTAGCCAGGAGGGTCTTGATCCCCTGACCTCCTAATCCACCCGCCTAGGTCTCCCAAAGTGCTAGGATTACAGGCATGAGCCACTGTGTCTGGCAGGAAAAAGGTTTAATTGACTCACAGTTCTGTATGGATAAGAAGGCCTCAGGAAACTTACAATCATGGCGGAAGAGGAAGGGGGCCATCTTATACAGTAGCAGGCGAGAGAGAATGTACCCATAGGAGGAACTGTCAAACACTTATAAAAACCATCAGATCTCGTGATAACTCACTCACTATCACAAGAACAGCATGGGGGAAACGGCCCCCATGATCTAATCACCTCCCACCAGGTCCCACACTGGACATGTGGAGATTATGGGGCTTACAGTTTAAGATGAGATTTGGTGGGGGAAACAGAGCCAGGCTAACCATGTCACTGTTACGGGATCATTGGGGTGTTGCTTTTCTTCCCAGAATCCTGTGGCTGGTAATGCCTTTGCCTGAGTTTTACTCGGGCCAGCTGGGCTCATTCCACCCACATTGCCTGGCATGCAGTGCTCAGCTCACACTACCGGCCTGGATCCCACACCTGCCAAGGGTGAATCAGGTGTCGAGGGATGTGTGAGCAACTGAGCATGGGGTCCAGCCACTGTGCAAAGCCAGGCAGGTTGTCTGTGCAGGGCAGGCAGCTCTAGGTGCTGCCATGGGTGTCAGCTCCCTGTGAGGCTGCAGCTAGACCAGGCACACCACAAGCAGCTTCCACAGCTGGCACTGGGGAACAACGTGGCACCTGGAAGCTTGGAGACCCCAGGAATCACAGGCCCCAAAAAGTGAGTCACAGCCCTGGCTCAGTGAGCTCCCAGGTTTGGGCTCCCTGAAGAGCCACAGCTCTTCCCTCCTTCTCTTTGCTCACGACATGGTGAGCAAGGGGCATGTTTCAGCCGTGTTTGTGTCACAGCTTTTTTAGCCTCACCATTTGGCAGATCCCCAGTTCTTGTCCTGAGTCCAATAAGAATGAGGTATGCAGACAAGTGGAGGGTGAACAGGACAAAGAGGAGCTTTATTAAGCCATAGAACAGCTCAGAGACCTGCAGTGGGCAGCTTCTCTCCATAGCCAGGTTGTCCTGACACCTGTTCAGCTCTCAGCAGAGAGGGTAGCTCCTCTCTGCAGCTGAACATCCTATTCTCTCCTCAGTTCTCAGCAGAGAGGAGACCCTGGGGAGGGCAACTCCTCTCTGCAGCAGTTCATCCCTCATCTCCCTGTCCTCTCTCCATCCTCTGCTCAAGTCGGCCTGAGCCCAGGGCTTTTACGGACCTCAGAGGGGAGGAAGTGCACATCATGGGCGGCCATGGGGCAGGCCCAGAAAAGGCACAAGTTCCCACTGCTGTCAGCAGGACTGGCAGCCCAGCCTGGTGAGCAGGGCCTCACCAGAGACCTGCCTCTTTCTTCCCAGGAAGCTGTTTGCCTCCCACTGCTATCCATGGTGACCAGGCTGCTCATGCCAAGGGGCACCTGTAGGCCACACCAGTTTCCCTCAGCCCATCTTCCCTCAGCTTCCCCCGGCTTCCCCATGGCTGAGGTGGCAAGAGATTGATATGTCAATGCTGCCCTGAGTGTGCGCACACCTGACCAGGCTGTGACAGCAACGGGACTGGGCCCGACTCCACTTTGAGATCAGAGCGGGAGCTGGGAGAGACCAGGGGAGAGGCCAGGCAGTGGGAGCAGACACCCCGGAACCTGCAGGGACACGGAGTCCTTCTCGGCCTTGAGGGCGTGGAGCGCAGAGAGGCCTGGATCCTGCTGTGGGAGGGTGGGTCTCCCACCCAATCCGTGGAGCCGGCAGGTAGCCCCTGTCACACCTCGCAGCCTGGGGTGGGCAGCTCCACTCACTGGGCCCAGGCCGGCATCTGGGGCAAAGGTGATGTCTCTGCAAGATCTTCTCTTAGAACTCAGGGGTGCCCAGGGATCTCCCTCGCCTGGATAAGGTCGGGGAGGCATCTTGGGGAGCAGATCTCAGCAGGGCTTGGCCATGGGGAACATCAGGCTCGGTGGCCACCCCCGAGGGCACAACCCTGGGCGGCCTCAGACAGAGCCTCCTCCTGAGACCCAGGAACAGTGCTCCCTCGGCAGGGTGGGACAGTGGCCTTGCCGCTGGATGGGTCCCCAAAGTGGGGCAACTCCCACTTCTCACCCCAGGCCCCTGAGGCATGGCCCCAGCTTCATGCCCTCCCCACAGCTATAGGATGAGAGCAGGAATGCAGGACTGGTGGAGGCTCTGGGCCTGGGGGCAGGTCCTGCTGGCTGCTCAAGGGTTGGGGCAGCACAGTCAGCTGCCTAAGGGACACAAGGCACAGGGGACATGGGGCACAGGGGTCCCACCATGGCCACTGCTCCCACAGTCATTCCTGCCACCACCGCTTGCAACTTACCACTGCAACTAGCCACTCTGGACAGCTCGCCACTGCCATCATCACCACCCTTTTATCCTAAAATGCTAAGGTGAACCTTAGATGGCTTTCCTAGATTACCATCATCACCATTAGTTTCTTTTTTTCACAATTTCTTCTTTTCTTTTTTCTTTCTTTGTGTGTGTGTGTTTTTTTTTTTTTTGACAGGATCTTCCTTGTTCATAATATTTAGTATTATTTCATGCTGATAAATCTGTAAGACTATAACAAAAGGTATGAAATTTGTGTCACTGGAGTCTTAGAGGGAAATGACAAATGGGTGATGCCCAAAGAGTGCTTGAAGGAAGACTGACTGCTTTCCAAATTTGGACAGAGGCTTAAATGTAAAAATTCAAGAATCTGTGCAAACCCAAATGAAAATAAATCCAAAGAAATTTATGCCAAAAAAAATCTCGGAAGCAACAAGAGAGAAAGGACATCTCATGCACAGGAGAAAATAAATTAAATGACAGTGGATTGCTCATTAGAAATCATGCAGACCAGACAGAAGTGGCACAAGATATTTTAACGGCTGAAAGGAATGTTAACCTAGAATGTATATCCAGTAAAAACATTATTATAAAATGTTCTATCATGACTTTTTTTTTCTTTTATTTTTCTTTTTTTGTTTGTTTTTCGTTTTTTAGATGGAGTTTTGATCCATCTTAAAAAAAAAAAACCCAGGCTGGAGTGCAGTGGCGCGACCACGGCTCACTGCAGCCTTTGCCTCCCAGGCTCGTGTGATCCTCACACCTCAGCCTCCTGAGTAGCTGGGGTTACAGACACACACCACCACGCCTGGCTAATTTTTTGTATTTTTGGCAGAGACAGGGTTTTGCCATGTTGCCCAGGCTTGTCTCGAATTCCTGAGCTCATGGGATCCGCCTGCCTTGGCCTTCCAAAGTGCTGGGATTACAGGCGTGAGCCACTGCACATGGCCATGACATACTTAGAGGAAGGAAAATCAAGAGAATTTCATGCTAGCAGACTTATGTTAAAACAAGGGCTAAAGGAAGTGCTTTAACTGGAATAGAAATGATAATGGAAGAAATCTTGGACAATTGGGAAAAAAGTAAACAGCAAATGAGTAAAAATATGGTTAGATACAACAGACTTCTTCAGTTTTGTAAATTAACTTGATGGTTGAGGCAAAAATTACAACACTGACAAGATGTGATTTTGATGCAAGTAGAGAAAATAAAACATATATATTACACATGCAGAAGTGGAAAGGATTATAAAGGAGGTAAAGTTTCCACACTTTAGTCAAATTGGTAAAATGTCAGCACCAGTAGACTATGATAAGTTATGTTAACAGACAGATAAATCACGAAAACTATACAATGAGATACACCAAAAAAAGATTGATTTAAAAATGGAATTCTAAAAATTGCTTAAGGAACACATTGGAAAATAGGAAAAGAAACCAGAGAAGAAAAAACCAAAGGAAACAAAAAAGAAAACAAAAAGCAGATGGCAGTCATAAGAGCTCACATATTAATAATTGCATTACATGTAAAGTGTGTAAAAAGACAAATGCCAGAGTGAAAAGCAATGACTCTTCGACATGCTCCCTATAAGAAACTTACTTCAAATATTACATGCCCATCTTCCCTTGGCTTCCCTGTGACTGAGGTGGCAAAAGCCTGGTGTGTCAACACTGCCCTGAACGTGCACACACCCAGCCAGTCTGTGACAGCACTGGGGCTTTGCCCCAACTCCACTCTGAGATCAGAGTGGGCACCTGGGACCCGGGTGAGGCCAAAGGAGAGGCCAGAAAGTGGGAACAGACACCCCCAAGCCTGCATGGACAGGAGGGCCTTCTCAGCCTTGAGGGAGTGGAGTGTAGAGAGGCCTGGATCGTGTTGCCTGTGGGGAGGGCCGGGAGGGTGGGGTTTCCAACCCATTCCATGGAGCCTGCAGGTATCCCCTGTCACACCTTCTGGCAGCCTGGGGTGGGCAGCTCCCCTCGCTGGGCGCAGGCCAGCATCTGGGGCAAGGGTGATGTCTCTGCAAGTTATTCTGCTAGCACTCAGGGTGCCCGGGGCTCCTTCTCGCCTGGATGGGGCGGGGGAGGCACCTTGGGGAACAGATCACAGCCCGGGCCTGGCTGTCAGGAGCATCAGGCTGGGTGGCCACCCGCGGGGACAAAACCCTGGACAGCCTCAAGCAGAGCCTCTTCCTGAGGCGCAGGAACTGGGCGCCCTTGGCAGGGCGGGTCCTCAAAGTGAGGCCACTCCCATGTCCCACCCCGGGTCACTGAAGGGTGGCCCCAGCTCCATGCTCTCCCCACGACTGCAAGGTGAGAACAGCAACGCAGGAGTGAAGGCTCTGGGCCTGGGGGCAGTCCTGCTGGCTGTTCAAGAGTGGGGTCAGTGCAGTCAGCTGCCTCAGTGACGCGAGGCACAGGGGACATGGGGCACAAAGGTCCCACCACGGCCACTACTCCCTCAGTGGCTCCTGCCGCCACCGCTTGCAACTTCCCGCTGTAGCCGGCCACTCTGGACAGCTCGCCACTGCCAGCATCACCACCCTTTTATCCTGAAATACTAACGTGAACCTTAGCTGATTTCCTGGATTACTACTATCACAATTAGTTTCTTTTTTTCACAAATTTGTTTCTTTTTTCTTTTTCTTTTGCTTTTCCCCTTCTTTCTGAAGGAGTATGATCTAATGACTGAGCTTGAGAGGTATATAATTTGGCTCAATCTATAGTGTACCGTTTACTAGTGTATCTTGGCAAAATTTGTTTTATCTCCATCATTTTAGTCTCTCCACCTGTAAGCATGAAAACGGTGTTTATTTTACTGAGCTGATGTGAGAATTAAATAAAAATATGAAGCATAGAAAGTTTTTAGTACAATTCTGAGTACAAAGTCAAATGCTCATTTTTATCGCAGCATGGTGAGAATCCTGCTCCTGGAAACACTAAGGCACATAAGGAAGGAGTGCCTATCAGAACTGTGGTACAGTGTGAATTAATGCAGAGCTTTATATGTATAGCCGTACTTTGAAGTCCATTCTGAATCTTAGATGTCACATTTATATTAGTATAAAGCATAATAATTATCTAAATGTAGAATTATATGTTTAAAATTACATGATTACATCAGCTGATGTAATTCATAGTTTTTCCCTAGGGTTCTCTTTCCTGAACATTCTGTAACGTATTAGTTAGCACAGTCTTCTTATATCTTCCCTTATGATAAATCAAAAGAAGCATAATAGTAAAGGGCCATAACCTCAATCAAATGAGGAAATCCTAATGGGAACCAGGAATGAGGGATTGAACACTCTTCACATAAAATATTAATTATTTTACAGCAGTGTTGTTCTGTCAACAGCTGACTTTGAGTCCTTGATCAATCTCTCAGACCCCTGAATACTTCGATTGCACAGTTGACCTTATCACATTGTTAGGGTAAGTGCTATACAAAGGCACCTTCAGACCCTCCATTGCACATAGGTGGTCCCTGCAAGCCCCTTCCTGTGTGTGTTCTGGAGGTGCCACTAAACTTGGGGGCAGCATCAGGAGACACACTTGAAAACAATTTAATCTCAGATTAAATTATTAACAAACTTTCCATTTCCTTTAACTTATTAAAGACATCCCTACCTGGAAATAGGTACAGAATACCCTCTCCAGTTAACAGCTGTCATTCTGTCCTATCATCAGATACCCAGGGGCTGTTGCTACTTGAGGCGTCCACAGAATCACAGCATTTTCCAGTATTGAAAGACCTGAAAGATCGCAGTGCCTTCATTTCAACTGTGAGACATGAAGTAATTTTCCCAAATCTATGACATTAAGATATGGTGCAATAAGGACTAGATTACAGGTCTCCAGATTTACAACCATGTTCCCTCCATCTCCTTTACTCCTAAACACACTCACACACTCACTTCTGCAAACAGTTGTCTTGTCAAGTGGGAAATGAATGCTCTTACAAGTCTCAAACTTGTGAACACATCACTGACCAGCACAGAGCTGGCTCACAATAAGGACCCAGTTAAAGTGTTCTACATGCAACTGGATCAAACCTTCCAAGTACTAAATTAAAACAATCATTTAAAGGAGGAAATTGTTTCAGAAGCTGACCTTCATACTGCATCTCTGAGCAGCAACTGATGATGCTATTGAACTCAGATGCTGATTGGTTCTCCAACACGAGATTACCCAACCCAGGAGCAAAGAAATTAGTACCTTACTCCCTGTGTTGGGGATGTGAGTAGAGGGAGGTCATAGTTCTCCGTGAATGTGAGACTTGCCTGCTACCCTGGCACCTGGTCCTGTCCTGTTCTCCAGCATGGTGTGTCTGAGGCTCCCTGGAGGCTCCTGCATGGCAGCGCTGACAGTGACACTGATGGTGCTGAGCTCCCCACTGGCTTTGGCTGGGGACACCGGACCTAAGTGCACCCTGTGGTTGCTGAGCTACTATAAGGGGGTTAAAGTAGGGACCTAAATTTGTCACTGTGCCCAGGCCATGTCCCTTAAGAATTTGTGGTGTTTTCAACAGGGATTGCCCATCTTTATCACATGGATCCCAAATTACTTCCTCCACAAAAGGAGCTTGGCTACTTGCCCTCTCCATGAGACTTGTGTAAGGGGCCTCCATACAGGTCATTTCTTCTCAAATCTCTACCAATAAAACTTTGCATCACATGTCCTCAGGGTCTTTAGAGGATTTAGAAAAAGGATGCTAAAATAAATTCCCCATACAGCACTTCCCTTTATTATGTTGACTTAAGTCAGACAAAAGGAGGTTTTTTTCTCAAAATTTTGTGAGAGTCAAGGGAATTCAAAGGGTCTCTCCTAGATGATCCTGTGTTATGTCCTCCACAGGACATGTGGTATTGGCCCCTCTTCCTCATATGTGAAGATGTACCCAGTGGCCTCCCCATTATCTACTTTCTTTTCTTTCTGAAGTCCAGTCTTTATAAAGCCTGTATCCCTGTAGCTTACATAGGTTCTCTGACAAAAGTTATACTTAGTGCTCTTTCTTTCTTATGGGGAAAAATCCCTGGAGCTGAAGCCGAGATCTTTAGTACTTGGTATCACCCTACAGACAGAGAACATCTGTGGGGTGTTCTTTGGTGCCTAAAGAACTTAAGGCATCCTCTGAAAACCTGGCCCAGGATAGTGTTTATTATGAATCTCTTTTAACCTTTCTATACTAGCTTCTCCTACATCTCCTATATGCTCTAACTAGACTCCACAAGAAGAGATTCAATGAATGTAGGATAAATTATATGAAATTATATTTTTGTAAGTCAAAAATAGTGAAATATCAGAAATTTGCTAAGGTTCAAACTATATACTCTGAGTGGAGTTACCGAGACAATGTGGACATTGTTCACATCTCATAGGGCTGAAAGTCAATGAGCAAGTCTTGGAAACTCATTGTCCTACTTGGGTCTTGTCCTAAATTTTATAGGTTCACCCATCATACCCTCCGCTTTTCTTAATTAGCCATGTCCGCTTACCTCTTCCTCCAGTTTCTCTCTATTTTTCCCCAGCTATGTTGTCATTATTTCCCAAAATCCTTAAATCTTGCACAGACCTAGAGCACTATGAGGTTCATCACAAGAGATAATTTCTTCCTTTTTTGAGGCAGGGCCTGGCTCGCACCCAGGCTGTAGTGAAGTGGTGCGATAGAGGCTCACTGCAACCTCTGCCGCCAAAGCTCAAGTGATCCTCCCTCCTCAGCCTCCAGAGTAGCTGGGACTACAGGCAGGAAACCACACCCAGCTAATTATTGTAATTTTGGTAGAGACTGCATTTTGCTATATTGCCCAGGCTGGTCTTATACTCCTGGGCTCAAGCGATCCTCCTGCCTCCCAACATGCTAGGATTACAGATGAGAGCCAACATGCCCAGCCAGAAAGAGATGAATCTTAATTTAAAAAAAACAATTCCTTTTTCTTAAAATTACTCTTTCCTTGGCCAGGCTCAGTGGCTCATGCCTGTAATCCCAGCACTTTGGGATGCCGAAGTGGGCAGATCACGAGGCCACGAAATCGAGATCATCCTGGCCAACATGATGAAACCCGTCTTTACTAAAAATAAAAAAATTAGCTGGGCATGGTAGCACATGCCTGTAATCCCAGCTACTCGGGAGGCTGAGGCAGGAGAATCACTTGAACCCAGGGGGCGGAGGTTGCAGTGAGCCCAGATCACGCCACTGCACTGCAGCCTGGCGACAGAGCTAGACTCCATCCCAAAAATAAAAAAAAAAAAGAAAAAAATTAGTTTCCTTATCTGTTAATTCATCCAACTAGAAGGAGGAGAAAGAAGTAGTGTGCCTGTATTTCTCACAGGGAAGAGAAGGGGTCTAGTATGACATCAAAATGAAAGAGTGCTGGAGCTTGAGCCCCTTCTTGCTTTTCAGGATCCAAACAGTGATCAGTTCCCAGAACCCTGGTTTATTCATATAAACCACACTTATTTTTATCAGCAGCTACTGTGTACTGGCCTCCCTTCTAGGTTCAAATCATTCTATTTGAGTAAGATACAGTGGATTGGCCCCTACTCATGGAAATTACACAATCATAGAGGAGATAGACAATAACCCAATAATCATTTAACAAAGAAGAAAATTTCAGAGAGTCATTGTGCATGGAAGAAAAGACATCAGGTTTGTGGAAAGAGAGAATTGGATCCACCCAACTTTGGTTCATATGCTTAAGCAGCTCTACCTGAGAAAGTGACATTCAGCTGAGACAACAAAATAAGTAGACACTCGTGAGGATCTAAGGGACAAAATTTCCAGGGAGACAAAATGTGGGGGAAATCCTGGGGGGGAAATTATGTGCAGGGACAGAAAGAAGGCTAGAGGGGCTGACGTATAGGAAGCAAGAAAATGGAGAGGCAGAAGATGAGGTAGGATGCAGAGAGGAAGTCAGGAGCCTCATCATATTAGGCCCTGATGTTCATAGTAAGAAATTTTAATTTTATTTAAACAGATATGGGAAGCTACTGCATGGTTACAAGGAGAGTCCATTTATATTCAATTTTTAAAACTAATTCTAGTTACTTTGTGGGGATTGGATTGCTGGGGTTCACAAGTGGTCAGGAAGACTATTTAGGAGCACAGCAGGGAATCCTCAGGGAAAATAGGCTCATGGCTTCCTGGTGTGCATTAGTGACAAAGACAGTGAAAAAGATGAAGTGGACAGACTCGGCATGTAATTTGCTTAGCCTGTTAATGGATTACTGTAGAGGGGATAGAACAATCAAGCTTATTCCTAAGGATTTTGTCTTGACAAATAAGTGGATGGTGGTGGTGTTTATTGAGATAGGGAAAACTGTGGGAGGAGATTATTTGAAGTGGGTGGTTGGAAATGATTTATTGACATTTATGTGGAACAATCAGAAGGTCAAGGGAATTTAAGAGACTCACGGTGAGTTCAGGGCTGGAGGTGTTTCTGTTGACAGCATCAATACATGTACTCTGTTAAATTCCAGGGAGTGGAAGAGGATACATAGGGTAATAGCTTGTGTGTAGAAAAAAGAAGTCACAGGCCAGCAAAGGGGACTGAGAGGGAGCCCCAGGGATGTTGGAGAAAAACCAAGAGAACACAATGCATGTAAGTCAAGGAAAATAGATTTTTTTCAAGAAGGGAGAAGCCAATGAGTATCACAAAGTGGGTGAAGTGAGAATGTGAGAGAGAAGCAAGTGCTGGGTTTGCTGGAGTTGGTATTTGCAGTCAATGGAGTATCCAGGATGGAAAATGGAATGGACCATTTGAACAGCAAGTAGAAGTGAGGATGAGGTTAAGGTTGACTGTTCTGAGTAGAGAGATTCAGGGAAGGACTGCGCTCTGGGTTCAGGAAGCCAGCTGAATCTAAAGGAAAAGACTAAAAAGGCTGAAGAGAAGCAGGAGGATCTGTGAACCAGAGATGCTCAGTCATCATTGGCAAGGAAGTACGAGAGGGTCCCTGTGTGCAGTGGTGAATGTTCATGCAAAACATCACACAGCCAATATTTCACACAACCCATATTTATTAGTGACTTAGAATATGCCAGCTACTGCTCTAAGTCATGAGAATGGAGTGATGAATAAAATGAACCTGGTCTCCATCAGTACATGCCATATAACATTTTGCAGTGACTGTGTACCAGGCCTTTGATTTTCAGTATACAATTTCAATAATGATCCTATTGTATCTGTGGTGTTTAAAAACATATACATCTCTGGAATCTAAAATTGAGAAGATATAAGTAAAACCCAGTATCCCAAATGTAGTGCTAGAAATCAGATTGCAGTTTAAATCTGAGCATGTAGAAAGTCCCTTTCTCCTATGTCAGCAGATGCCTTTTGTGTGAGGTTTGTTTAGGTATACTGCATTATTAGACATAAGCTAGTGTTTCTGCCCTATGTTTTCAGAATGACAATTCTTTATGAAACTAATAGAAGAACAGAAAACAATTGCAAAATCATGATGAAGATACTAATTGCTTTAGAATCAAGGAATAAGGAAAATAATGTGAGCTGCAGTTAAAGGGATCATAAAAAATTAAAATGAAAATATTTTTGAGTGTTTATTATGTGGTCAGTGCTAAGAAGTCATTATTTAATTTTACACTTAAAAATAACCCTGTGAAGATGATGCTATTATTAAATGCATTTGATAGATTACAAAAAGGCTTTGGTTAGTAAAAATTGACCCAAGTAGAAGAGATTATGTTTCCATTCAGATTTTCTGATTCTAGAGATTGAGAGTCTGCCAATTATTAGTGAGTAGTGACCAAATTGTGTCTGAATTATTGACAGAATTCCTGATATTCATATGTATCAGGTTGTTTCTTGAAGTGGGAGCAGAGATGCAAGGGCTGCTAGTTCCAATGTATAGGAGAAACTTTCATTCATTTTGCATTTATCATTTTAAAAGTTCTATATGTCTCTCCTGGGCATGTGTTGAAGAACACAAGGAAGTATTAAATCACTCCTTGTTCTGAGGTTTGACTAGCAAGTTGGCCTGAGGTTGCCAAATAAAATACAGGTTCCTAGTTAAATCTGAATTTCAGATACACACCATAATTTATTGGAAATCCAAATTTAAGTGGGCATCCTCTGGTTTTATTTGCCAAACCTTTTGACCCTAACTGGGACACATGAGCATGGATTACAGTGCTAGTCATGCAAACCACAGTGACAGCGACTTCACACATGTTTATTTTTTAACTTTCTCTCTGTAAAGAAAGTGCTTAGATAATTTAAGAATAAAAAGACAGACATTTTTGATCCAGGGCATCGTTTCTAAAGGGCAAAGGGAGCTTTGCAAAGGTCATACTCAAAGTCTGGGGACCTGCTCATTTTTGCAAACTGCCTGTATGAGAATGTCATTTTCTTGGTTTCTCCCTTTCTGAGGGGAATTGACTACAAAACCGAGAGTTCTACCTCTGGCCAAGGCTGGAAATTTGATGCCTGTTAGTATTGTTGGGAGTGGGAGACTGAGAGAAATGAGTTAGTTGGGGCATTAAATGGGAATCAAATGGCTCTGGTTGTGATTCATTACTACAGATAATTAGTGGACCAGTGGCACAGAAATTAAGAAAGAAGATGCTATGAAAGATAAATGATATGATTTGATGACTGATTATAAAGGCAAGGAAATCAGTAAATCTTGGTTCTCCACAAGTTCATTTTCTGGAAACATAGCACTGTATTGGGACCAGAATTCTACAACATTTTCATTTTATGTAGGACCAAGATTTTCAACAGATGTTTTTCAAAGTAATTCTCAGCTGCTCCATAACTGATAGTGGCTTGTTCAACACAGATTTTTTCAGATGGTTCACACCCATGGTTCTTACCCAGGGATAGTTCACCACCCCCTCCCTTCCCTCCCATCACCCTTGGGGAACATGTGGCAATGTTTGGAGGAATTTTTGGTTGTCACAACAGGGATTTCTTCTGATATTTAATGAGTAGAAGCCAGGGACACTTCTAGAGAACCTGCAATGTACACAACAGCCTCCATCACCAACGAAGAATTACCTGGTCCAAAATGTCAACAGTGCTGAGGTTGAGAGCACTGGTTCACACTGTGCTCTTTCTGAAAAGTCTAGACTCACATCTTTTTGTTTTGTTTTGTTTTGTTTTGTTTTGTTTTGTTTTGTTTTGTTTTTTTGAGATGGAGTCTCACTCTGTCACCCAGGCTGGAGTGCAGTGGCACAATCTCGGCTCACTGCCAGCTCCGCCTCTGGGTTCATGCCATTCTCCTGCCTCAGCCTCCCGAGTAGCTGAGACTACAGGTGCCCGACACTGCACCTGGCTAATTTTTTGTATTTTTTTAGTAGAGACTGGTTTTCACCGTGTTAGCCAGGATGGTCTCGATCTTCTGACCTCGTGATCTGCCCGCCTCAGCCTCCCAAATTGCTGGGATTACAGGCGTGAGCCACCATGCCTGGCCTAGACTCACATCTTTTATACAATCACCACCCAATTCACTTCTTTATGGTTAATTTTTGCTTGTTTCATTATAAATAACTAGACAGTTGCATAAATTCAACCACTTTCTTGTTGAATCCATTCAGTGTAGAGAGCCGGAGGCTGGAGAATCATGACCAATTCAGAATTTCCACTGAGGCAATATGATCAAACAGCAAACTGTTTATCATGAATACAGAGCAGGGGCAAACTCTCCTCTGTGCTGGCCACCAGAAGGTTTGCTGAGGGCAATCACTCCCTGGTGCAGAGCTCCTTCAGGTTATCTACTGGGACATCTAGAATCTATTGTTCAAGGAATGTAGTCTTGCAAGGCTGCTCTGGAGCAAGCAGCAGACCGACAACGACCCCCTCCTTGCTATCTCTTCTCAGTAAATACGAAGGAAGCTCAAGGCTCAGGGCCTTTGTTCACAAAGAGCAAGGTGCCCCTGACCCCTTCTTCCAAATATATTCTTTTGTCTTTATTTCCATGTTCATCCTCCTTTGTTCAGTCCAACAGGGTCCATGGCATAGTGATGTTCAAACAGCGACAGGGCGACACCGTAGTGGTTTCTAAACACAGGGACATGAGAATGTGAACAAAGAAGATCTGGTGGAGCAGAGGAACTGAAATTGACAAGACGAATGGGGACCCCGAGATGAGTCTGCTGGCAGCTGATATAAGGTCAGTGCCCTAAAGAGGTACTGGGAGCAATATAAGGTCAGTGCTCTAAAGAAGTATTGGGAACGGGAAGTTTTCTAAATCAGGGTAACGTGAGGCAGAATTTGTCTATTGAAGAAAAACATTATGAGCAGTTGCTTAAAGTTTTGTTGAAATAATCTGGTGCTCAGGTTAGATCTCAGACATTAACTACAATGCTGCAGGAGGTTATTATGTATAACCCATGGTTCCCACAGACAGGCACTCTTGATATGGAAAATTGGGACAGAGCAGAAGGATTAAAATGGGCTCAGTAAAAAGGTCTCAAAGTTGATCCTTCTGTTTTCTCCACTTGGAGTTTAGTCTATACTGTCCTTCTGCCATTATCTCCTTCTTCTGCTGGACAGCAGGAGTGATGTTCTGAGTCTAAAAATCTGAAAAAATCTGTTGTCCCACCCACAGCTCCAATTGAAAATAAAAAACAGGAGAAGGAGGATAAAAATTGGCCTATACCGCCTCCTCCAATAGCAGAAACATCTGTACCGCCTCCTTCGGTAGCAAAAATAGAGACCCCAATACAGAGAATTTTACACCGTGCTGCCATAGCTGGAGAGCCCTTAGGACCTTGCACTTTTCCTATTTCTGTAAGGCCTGATCCAAATAATCCATAGCAGCTTATTCATGAACACACTCCACTAGAGTTTAAGTTGTTGAAGGAATTAAAAGGAGTGTGGTAAATAATGGTGTACACAGCCTGTTCACTTTAGGATGGCTAGTATCTGTATTTGGTGCTGTGCGCCTTCTACCCTTCGATGTAAAGAATTTGGCTTACACTTGTTTGTCTCCTAGTGCATACCTGACATGGAATTTAAATTGGCAAGAAATGTGTGCAGACCAGGCTAGACAGAATTGTGTGGCTGGACACAGAGACATTACAGAGGACATGCTCTTAGGTAATGGCCCTTATTCAGACCTGGAACATCAAATGGCACTCCCAAATGCCAGCAGTGTGCACAGGCTGCCAAATGCAACTGGGCCACAATTCCAGAAGAGGGAGTCCCAGTGCAATCCTTTTTACATATCATGCAAGGGTCGCAAGAACCTTATGCACAATTTCTTGCATGACTATAAAAGGCAATGAAGCATCAGATTTATCACACCACTGCTGCAGAGATGCTAACCTTAACTCTAGCTTTTGAGAATGCAAATGCAGATTGTAAATGTGCATCGGCACCTGTGAGGTGTACAAAAAACTTGGGAAATTTTCTCAGAGCTTGTCAAGATGTGGGAAATGAGCTTCATCGCTCTACAATATTAGTGCAGGCAATGGCTAATTTAGCAGTTGACAAATCTAAAAGGAACCAAGGGTCAAACCCTAAAATGGGAAAATGTTATAACTGTGGAAAAACTGTACTTTTTTTTTTTTTTTTGAGATGGAGTCTCGCTCTGTCGTCCAGGCTGGAGTGCAGTGGTGCAACCTCGGCTCACTGCAAGCTCCTCCTCCCAGGTTCATGCCATTCTCCTGCCTCAGCCTCCCAAGTAGCTGGGACTACAGGCGCCCGCCACTACGCCCAGCTAATTTTTTGTATTTGTTTAAGAGATGGGGTTTCACCATGTTAGCCAGGATGGTCTCGATCTCCTGACCTTGTAATCCGCCCACCTTGGCCTCCCAAAGTGCTTGGATTACAGGCATGAGCCACCATGCCCAGCCAAAACTGGACATTTTAAAAAGGAATTCCACCAGATCTCAGGACAGAAAGGACATTACGATGCAGTGCCCCACCCAGCGGAAAAAAACACCAGGACTTTGTCCTCACTGTAACAAAGGAAATCACTAGGCTAATCAGTGCCGCTCAAAATTTCATCAAAACAACATCCCCGTGTCGGGAAACTAGAAGGGGGCCTGGATCCGGGCCCCTCAAACAATGAGGGCATTTCCAGTTCAGACCACAGTCCCACTTCAGGGATGGGTCTCAGGAAAAACATTGATTCCTGGTGTTCCTCACCTCAGGAACACCAGGAAGTGCAGGATTAGATATCCCCACCAGAGAAAGAACTACATTAGTTGGAGGAGACAAACCTACAAGGTTCCCACTGGCATTTGGGGACTTTTACCAACAGGATACATAGGACTAATTTTAGGCAAAAGCCCCCTTAACTTGCAAGGCATGACTGTAGTCCCTGGAATAGTTGATTCCATTTATGAAGGAGAAATTCAAGTAGTTTTAATGTCAAAAATCTTTGCATTTTTGAACTGGGAGAATATATTGCTCAGTCGTTGCTTATTCCCTGCAAATTAAATCCTTATCCTTCTCCACGAAAGGAGAAACGAGGAAATAAAGGGTTTGGGAGCACAACTACAAGGGAAATCTATCTATCCCATCCCATAGCCCATAGGACTTATGGATAGAGGAGCTGAAGTGTCAGTAATATCCAGTAAGGACTGACCCCCAGTATGGTCTCTCAGACTAACCTCCACATCCCTAGTGGGAGGAGGAGCAGCTAAAAGTGTTCAACAGAGTGCTGACATTTTACCTTGTCTTGGTCCGGATGGACAGCCATGTACTTTTCAGCCTTATGTTGCAAATATGGCAATCAATTTATGGGATCGAGACTTACTTACAGAATGGAATATGAGACTTACAAATGAAAACTTTGATAACCCAGGATTTAAAATGTTGAAGGACATGGGATATCAGAGTGGGAAAGGTTTAGGGAAATTCCTACAAGGAAAACCTAACCCAATATCAATAACTGGAAAAAACAGATAGAAGAGGGCTAGGACGTCAGGATTTCTGATGGAGGTCATTGATATTTCTCCTCCACCCTCTGCCTTACCATTAGAATGGCCAGTGACAAACCCGTATGGGTGGATCAATGGCCCCTATCTCAGGAGAAGCTGACACAACTTCAGCAGCTAGTATAAGAACAACTGGACACAGGACATATAGAGGAGTCAGTTAGCCCCCAGAATTCACCAGTGTTTGTTATTCCAAAAAAGTCTGGAAGGTGGTGACTGCTGCATGTTTGGAGTTAATGCACAAATTGAACCAATGGGTCCATTACAGCAAGGTTTGCCAACTCCAGTGGTCATTCCTAGAGATTGGCTTCTTGTAGTAATACATCTTAAGGATTGTTTCTTCACTATACCATTACAGGAGAAGGATAAGCCTCGATTTGCCTTCTCTGTGCCTTCTATTAATCAAAAAGAACCTGTTTCTTGCTATCAATGGAGAGTTTTACCCCAAGGCATGCTTAACAGTCCTACGTTATGTCAGCATTTTGTAGGACAGGCATTAAAGGAGCCTCGAAATATGTTTCCTACTGCTTACATCATTCATTTTATGGATGACATTCTTTTGGCCGCTCCTATAGATCAAATCTTACATCGCTTATTCCAAGAAACAAAGTAGGCTTTAACTAAATGGAATGTCAAAATAGCTCCAGAAAAGGTAGAAACAACTTTGCCATACCATTACTTAGACAATATTGTTACTGAAAGAAGTGTACGGCCTCAAAAGTAGTTCTCCATAAAGACAGGTTACAGACTTTAGGCCGGCCGCGGTGGCTCACGCCTGTAATCCCAGCACTTTCGGAGGCCGAGGCAGGCAGACCACAAGGTCAGGAGATTGAGACCATCCTGGCGAACACAGTGAAACCCTGTTTCTACTAAAAATACAAAAAAATTAGCCGGGAGTTGTGGCGGGCGCCTGTAGTCCCAGCTACCCAGGAGGCTGAGGCAGGAGAATGGCATGAACCTGGGGGGCTGAGCTTGCAGTGAGCAGAGATCGCGCCACTGCACTCCAGCCTGGGCGACAGAACGAGTCTCCATCTCAAAACAAACAAACAAACAAACAAACAAAAAAAAGACAAATGAGTGCCTATGTGGTAGCATGTGAATTAATGCAGAACTTTATAAGCATAGTTGTATTCTGAAGTCCATTCTGAATCTTAGATGTTATATTTATATTAATAAAAAGCATAGTCATTATCTAAATGTATAATAATATGTTTAATATTACATAGTTACATCAACTGATGTAATTCATAGTTTTCCCTAGTGTTCTCTTTCCTGAATATTCTGAAATGTATTAGTTAGCAAAGTCGTCTTTTATCTTCCCTTATGATAAAACAAGAGAAACATAATATAAAGTGCTATAGCCTCAATCAAATGAGGAAATCATAATGGGAACCAAGAATGAGGGATTGAACACTCTTCACATAAAATATTCATTATTTTAAAACATAATGTGGCCAGGCACGATGGCTCACGCCTGTAACCCCAGCAGTTTGGGAGGCCGAGGCAGGAAGAACATGAGGTCAGGAGATCGAGACCATCTTGGCTAACACAGTGAAACCCATCTCCACTAAAAATACAAAAAATTAACCAAGCATGGTGGCAAGTGCCTGTAGTCAGAGTTACTTGGGAGGTTGAGGCAGGAGAATCTTTGAACCGAGGAGGCAGATGTTGCAGTGAGCTGAGATCGCTCCACTGCACTCCAGCCTGGGCAACAGAGACAGACTCCGTCTCAAAAAAAAAAGAGTTGTTCTATGAACAGCTAACTTTCACAGTCTTCGATCGATCTCTCAGACCCATGAATACTTGGATTGCACAGTTGACCTTATCACATTGTTAGGGTAAGTGCCATACAAAGGCACCTTCAGACCCTCCATTGCACATAGGTGGCCCCTGTTAGCCCCTTGCCTGTGTGTGTTCTGGAGGGGCCACTAAACCTGGGGGCAGCATCAGGAGACACACTTGAAAAAGATATTCTTACTCAGATTAAATTATTAACAAACTTTCAATTTCCTTTAACTTATTAAAGACATCCCTACCTGTAAACAGGTACGGATTAAGCTCTCTAGTCAATAGCTGTCATTCTGTCATATTATCAGATACCCGGGGCTGCTGCTCCTTCAGGCGTCCACAGAATCACAGCATTTTCCAGTATCGAAAGACCTGAAAGATCACAGTGCCTTCATTTCAACTGTGAGACACGAAATAATTTTCCCAAATCTACAACATTAAGATATGGTGCAATAAGGACCAGTTTAAATGTCTCCGGATTTACAACCATGTTCCTTCCATCTCCTTTACTCCTAAACACACTCACACACTCACTTCTGCAAACAGTTGTCTTGTCAAGTGGGAAATGAATGCTCTTACAAGGCTCAAACTTACGAACACATCACTGACCAGCACAGAGCTGGCTCACAATCGGACCCAATTAAAGTGTTTTACATGCAACTGGATCAAATCTTTCAAGCACTAATTTAAAAACAATCCTTTAAAGAAGGAAATTCTGTTTCAGAAGAGGACCTTCATACAGCATCTCTGACCAGCAACTGATGATGCTATTGAACTCAGATGCTGATTGGTTCTCCAACACGAGATTACCCGACCCAGGAGCAAGAAAGTCAGTAACTTCCAACCCCATAATTTGGAATGTGGGTGGAGGGGTTCATAGTTCTTCCTGAGTAAGACTTGCCTCCTCCTCTGGCCCCTGGTCCTTTCCTGTTCTCCAGCATGGTGTGTCTGAAGCTCCCTGAAGGCTCCTGCATGGCAGCGCTGACAGTGACACTGATGGTGCTGAGCTTCCCACTGGCTTTGGCTGGGGACACCCGACATAAGCGCACATTGTGGGTGCTGAGCTACTATGGGGTGGGGAAAATAGAGAGTTTTGTTAACATTGTGCCCAGGCCATGTCCCTTAAGACTTTGTGACGTTTTGGTCAGAGATTGTGCATCTGTATTATTGGATCCCAAATTATCTCCTCCACGAAAGGAGCTTGACTACTTGCTCATGACACAGTCCATAAGACTGTGTAAGGGGCCTTCGTACAGATCATTTCTTTTTAAATCTCCACCAATAAAACCTTTGCATCACATGTCCTCAGGGTGTTTAGAGGATTTGGCAATAAGGATGCTAAAATAATTTCCCCATACAGCACTTCCCTTTATTATGTTGACTTACGTCAGACAAAATGACGTTTTTACTGAAAATTTTGTGGGAGTCAAGATAATTCAAAGGGTCTCTTCTAGAGGATCCTGGGTTATGTCCTCCACAGGAACTTTGGTGTTGGCCCCTCTTCCTCAAATGTGAGGATGTACCAATGGCCTCCCCATTATCTCCTTTCTTTTTCTTTCTGAACTCCAATGTTTATAAAGCCTATATCCCTGTAGTGTATGTAGGTTCTCTGACAGAAGTTATACTTAGTGCTCTGTCTTTCTTATGGGGAAAAATCCCTGGAACTGAAGCTAAGATCTTTAGTACTTGGAGTCACCCTACAGATAAAGAGCATCTCTGGGGTGTTCTTTGGTGCCTAAAGAACTTAAGGCATCCTCGGAAAACCTGGCCCGGCTTAGTGTTTATTATGAATCTCTTCTAACCTTTCTATAGAAATTTCTCCTACATGTCCTACATGCTCTAACTAGACATAACAAGAAGATATTCAACTAACGTAAGATAAATTATATGAAATTCTATTTTTGTAAGTCAAAAACAGTCAAATATCAGAAATTTAATAATGTTCAAACTATATACTGTGTGAGGTTACAGAGACAATGCGGACATTGTTCACATCTCATAGGGCTGAAAGTCAATGAGCAAGTCCTGGGAACTCATTGTCTTACTGGGGTCTTGTCTTAAATTTCCTAGGTTCACCCGTCATGCCCTCAGCTTTCCTTAATTAGCCATGTCTGCTTACCTCTTCCTCCAGTTTTTATTTTTCCCCAGCTATGTTGTCATCATTTCCAGAAATTCCTAAAGCTTGCACAGACCCAGAGCACTATGAGATCCATTGAAAGAGATTTTTTCCTTTTTTTGAGACAAGGCCTGGCTCTGTCACCCATGCTGTAGTTCAGTGTTATGATCTAGGCTTACTGCAACCTCTGCCTCCCAGGCTCAAGCGAGCCTCCCTCCTCAGCCTCCAGAGTAGTGGAGACTACAGGCAGGAAACCATGCCCAGCTGATTTTTGTAATTTTGCTAGAGATGAGATTTTGCTATGTTACCCAGGCTGGTCTTAAACTGCTGGACTCAAGCAATCCTCCAGCCTTGACCTCCCAACATGCTAGGGTTATAGGTTTGAGCCACCGCACCCAGGCAAAAAATAGATGAATCTTAATTTAAAAATTTATTATTTCTTAAATCACTGTTAATCTTTATCTGTGAATTCTTACAACTAGAAGGAGGAGAAAGAAGAACTTTGCCTGTATTTCACACCGGGAGGAGAAGGGGTCTAGTGTGACATCAAAATGAAAGAGTGCTGGAGTTTGAGCCCCTTCTTGCTTTCCAGGATCCAAACAGTGATCAGTTCCCAGATCCCTGGTTTATTCTTGTAAACCACACTTATTTTTCTCAGCAGCTACTGTGTACTCGGCTCCATTCCAAGTTCAAATCATTGTATTTGATTAAGATAGAGAGGGTCCCGACGCTCATGGAAGTTACACAACAATAGAGGAGACAGACATTAACCCAATATGCAATTAACAAAGAAGATAACGTTAGAGAGTAATAGTGCACTGAAGAAAAGACATCAGGTTTGTGGAAAAGAGAGAAATGGATTCACCCAACTTTAGCTCATGTGTTTAGAAAGCTCTGCCTGAGAAAGTGACATTCAGCTGAGACAACAAAATAAGTAGAGAGCCATGTGAAGATCTAAGGGACGAAAGTTCCAGGGAGACAGAATGTGGGGGCAGGGGGGGCGGGAAGCCCTGGGGTGGGAAATTACGTGCAGGGACAGAAAGAAGGCTAGAGACACTGAACTATAGCATTCAAGGAAATGCAGAGGCAGAGGGTGAGGTAGGAAGCAGAGAGGAAGTCAGGAGCCTCATTATATTAGGCTCTGATGTCCATGGTAAGAAATTTGAATTTTATTTTATTTATTTTCATTTTTTTATTTCATTATTTATTTTTTGAGATGGAGTTTCGTTCTTGTTGCCCAGGCTGGATGCAATGGAGTGGCCTCGGCTCACTACAACCTCTGCCTCCTGGGCTCACGTGATTTTCCTGCCTCAGCCTCCCGAGTAGCTGGGACTACAGGCGCCTGCCACCATGCCAGGCTAATTTTTTAGTATTTTTAGTAGAGACAGGGTTTTACCATGTTGGCCACGCTGGTCTCGAACTCCTGACCTCCGGTAATCTGCCTGCCTTGGCTTCCCAAACTGCTGGGATTACAATCATTAGTCTCCGTACCCAGCCTGAATTTTATTTAAATAGATGTGAGACACTACTGGATGGTTACAAGGAGAGTCAATTCATGTTCAGTTTTAGAAACTAATTCTGGCTTTAAAGTAGAGGGAAATTTATAGCACTAAATGCCCACAAGAGAAAGCAGGAAAGATCTAAAACTGACAACCTAACATCAAAATTAAAATAACTAGAGAAGCAAGAGCGATCACATTCAAAAGCTAGCAGAAGGCAAGAAATAACTAAGATCAGAGCAGAACTGAAGGAAATAGAGACACAAAAAACCCTTCAAAAAAGTCAATGAATCCAGGAGCTTGTTTTTTGAAAAGATCAACAAAACTGATAGACCGCTAATAAGACTAATAAAGAAGAAAAGAGAGAAGAATCAAATAGATGCAATAAAAAATGATAAAGGGGTATCACCACCGATCCCACAGAAATACAAACTACCATCAGAGAATACTATAAACACCTCTACACAAATAAACTTGAAAATCTAGAAGAAATGGATAAATTCCTCGACACATACACTCTCCCAAGACTAAACCAGGAAGAAGTTGAATCTCTGAATAGACCAATAACAGGCTCTGAAATTGAGGCAATAATTAATAGCTTACCAACCAAAAAAGTCCAGGACCAGACAGATTCACAGCCGAATTCTATCAGAGGTACAAGGAGGAGCTGGTACCATTCCTTCTGAAACTATTCCAATCAATAGAAAAAGAGGGAATCCTCCCTAACTCATTTTATGAGGCCAGCATCATCCTGATACCAAAGCCGGGCAGAGACACAACGAAAAAAAAGAGAATTTTAGACCAATATCCCTGATGAACATCGATGCAAAGATCCTCAATAAAATACTGGCAAACCGAATCCACCAGCACATCAAAAAGCTTATCCACCATGATCAAGTGGGCTTCATCCCTGGGATGCAAGGCTGGTTCAACAAATGCTAATCAATAAAGGTAATCCAGCACATAAACAGAACCAACGACAAAAACCACATGATTATCTCAATAGATGAAGAAAAGGCCTTTGACAAAATTCAACAACCCTTCATGCTAAAAACTCTCAATAAATTAGGTATTGATGGGATGTATCTCAAAATAATAAGAGCTATTTATGACAAACCCACAGCCAATATCATACTGAATGGGCAAAAACTGAAAGCATTCCCTTTGAAAACGGGCACAAGACAAAGATGCCCTCTCTCACCACTCCTATTCAACATAGTGTTGGAAGTTCTAGCCAGGGCAATCAGGCAGGAGAAGGAAATAAAGGGTATTCAATTAGGAAAAGAGGAAGTCAAATTGTCCCTGTTTGCAGATGACATGATTGTATATCTAGAAAACCCCATCGTCTCAGCCCAAAATCTCCTTAAGCTGATAAGCAACTTCAGCAAAGTCTCAGGATAAAAAATCAATGTGCAAAAATCACAAGCATTCTTATACACCAATAACAGACAGAGAGCCAAATCTTGAGTGAACTCCCATTCACAATTGCTTCAAAGAGAATAAAATATCTAAGAATCCAACTTACAAGGGATGTGAAGGATCTCTTCAAGGAGAACTACAAACTGCTGCTCAACGAAATAAAAGAGGACACAAACAAATGGAAGAATATTCCATGCTCATGGGTAGGAAGAATCAATATCATGAAAATGGCCATACTGCCCAAGGTAATTTATAGATTCAATGCCATCCCCATCAAGCTACCAATGACTTTCTTCACAGAATTGGAAAAAACTACTTTAAAGTTCATATGGAACCAAAAAAGAGCCCTCATTGCCAAGTCAATCCTAAGCCAAAAGAACAAAGCTGGAGGCATCATGCTACCTGACTTCAAACTATACTACAAGGCTACAGTAACCAAAACAGAGATAGAGATCAAGGGAACAGAACAGAGCCCTCAGAAATAATGCCACATATGTACAACCATCTGATCTTTGACAAACCTTACAAAAACAAGAAATGGGGAAAGGATTCCCTATTTAATAAATGGTGCTGGGAAAACTGGCTAGCCATATGTAGAAAGCTGAAACTGGATCCCTTCCTTACACCTTATACAAAAGTTAATTCAAGATGGATTAAAGACTTACATGTTAGACCTAAAACCATAAAAACCCTAGAAGAAAACCTAGGCAATACCATTCAGGACATAGGCATGGGCAAGGACTTCATGTCTAAAACACCAAAAGCAATGGCAACAAAAGCCAAAATGGACAAATGGGATCTAATTAAACTAAAGAGCTTCTGCACAGCAAAACAAACTACCATCAGAGTGAACAGGCAACCTACAGAATGGGAGAAAATGTTTGCAATCTACTCATCTGACAAAGGGCTAATATCCAGAAACTACAAAAAACACAAACAAATGTACAAGAAAAAAACAAACAACCCAAGCAACATGTGGGTGAAGGATATGAACAGACACTTCTCAAAAGAAGACATTTATGCAGCCAAAAGACACATGAAAAAATGCTCATCAACACTGGCCATCAGAGAAATGCAAATCAAAACCACAATGAGATACCATCTCACACCTGTTAGAATGGAGATCATTAAAAAGTCAGGAAACAACAGGTGCTGGAGAGGATGTGGAGAAATAGGAACACTTTTACACTGTTGGTGGGGCTGTAAACTAGTTCAACCATTGTGGAAATCAGTGTGGCGATTCCTCAATGATCTAGAACTAGAAATACCATTTGACCCAGCAATCCCATTACTGGATATATACCCAAAAGATTATAAATCATGCTGCTATAAAGACACATGCACATGTATGTTTATTGTGGCACTATTCACAATAGCAAAGACTTGGAACCAACCCAAATGTCCAACAATGATAGACTGGATTAAGAAAATGTGGCACATATACACCATGGAATACTATGCAGCCATAAAAAAGGATAAGTTCATGTCCTTTGCAGGGGCATGGATGAAGCTGGAAACCATCATTCTCAACAAACTATTGCAAGGACAAAAAACCAAACACCGCATGTTCTCACTCATAGGTGGGAATTGAACAATGAGAACACATGGACACAGGAAGGGGAACTTCACACATGGGGCCCGTTGTGGGGTGGAGGAAGGGGGGAGGGATAGCATTAGGAGATATACCTAATGTAAATGAAGAGTTAATGGGTGCAGCACACCACGTGGCACATGTATACATATGTAACAAACCTGCACATTGTGCACATGTACCCTAGAACTTAAACTATTAAAAAAAAAACCGATAATTCTTTTTTTTTTTTTTTTGAGATGGAGTCTCACTCTGTTGCCCAGGCTGGAGTGCAATGGTGCAGTCTCAGCTCACTGCAACCTCCACCTCCCAGGTAATTTTTGTATTTTTAGTAGAGACGGGGTTTCACCATGTTGGCCAGGCTGTTCTCAAACTCCTTACCTCATGATCCGCCTGCCTCAGCCTCCCAAAGTGCTAGGATTACAGGCGTGAGCCACTGCGCCCGGCAGAAAAGAGGTAATTCTTAATGAAAATTTTTTTCTTTCTTACAATCACTGTTTCCTTATCTGTGAATCCTTCTTCCAACTAGAAAGAGGAGAGAAAGGAAGTTTGCCTTAATTTCTCACAGGGAGGAGAAGGGATATAGCATGTCATTAGAATGAAAGGGTGCAGGAGCTTGAGCCCTTTTCTGCTTTCTAGAATACCCAGAGTGATCAGTTCCCAGAACTTCGGTTTATTCATTTAGACCACAGGTATGTTTCTGAGCAAAAGTTTTGTTCTGGTCTCTGTTCTAGGCTGAGAGATTTCTACTTGAATAGGATAAAAAAGATCCCTACTCTCATGGAACTCAATACCAGAGGAGACAGACAATATCCCAATAAATATTTAACAAAAAAGAAAAATTCAGAGAGCAATAATGCCTTTAAAAAAAGACATCAGGGTGATAGGACAGAGAGAATTGGATTCACCCAACTTCACATTGGATTCACAGGTAGTTTGGGAGCCCTCCCTGAGGAGAGCTCACATTTAGCTGAGACAAGAACAATAAGACAGCCATGTGAAGATCTAAGGGACAAGTGTTCCAGACAGACAGAAAAGGGGAAAGGCCAAGGAATGGGAAGGCGTGTGCTGTGTTGAAGAGACAGAAAGAAGGTTAGAGGGGCTGAAGGATGGAAAGCAAGGGGTGGAGTGGCAGAAGATGAGGTAAGAGAGAGAGAAAGTCAGGAGCTGCATCATATTCGGCCTTGGTGGCCATAGTAAGGAATTAAGTTTTATTTAAACATATTTGAAGCTCCTGGAAGGTTACAAGGAGAGTCCATTAATATTATGTTGCGGGAAGTCAGGGACCCCAAACAGAGGGACCGGCTGAAGCCAGAACAGAAGAATGTGGATTGTGAAGATTTTATGTACATTTATTAGTTCCCCAAATTAATACTTTTGTAATTTCTTATGCCTGTCTTTACTGCAATCTCTAAACATAAATTGTAAAGATTTCATGAACACTTATCACTTTCCCAGTCAATACCCTTGTGATTTCCTATGCCTGCCTTTACTTTAATCTCTTAATCCTATCAGCCGAGGAGGATGTACGTCGCCTCAGGACTATGTGATAATTGCATTAACTGCACAAATTGTATAGTATGTGTGTTTGAGCAATATGAAATGTGGGCACCTTGAAAAAAGAACAGGATAACAGCAATTGTTCAGGGAATAAGAGAGATAACCTTAAACTCTGACTGCTGGTGAGCCAGGCAGAACAGAGCCATATTTCTCTTCTTTCAAAAGCAAATGGGAGAAATATTGCTGAATTCTTTTTCTCAGCATGGAATGTCCCTGAGAAAGAGAATGCACACCTAGGGGTAGGTCTCTGAACTGGCCCCCCCGGGGCGTACCTATCTCTTATGGTTGAGATTGCAGAGGTGAGATAGATTCCAGTCTCCCATAGCGCTCCCAGGCTTATTAGGAAGAGGAAATTCCCACCTAATAAATTTTGGTCAGATCGGTTGATCTCAAAACCATGTCTCCTGATAAGATGTTATTGATGACAATGGTGCCTGAAACTTCATTAGCAATTTTAATTTCGCCTCGGTCCTGTGGTCCTGTGATCTCGCCCTGCCTCCACTTACCTTGTGATATTCTATTACCCTGTTAAGTACTTGATGTCTGTCACCCACACCTATTCGCACACTCCCTCCCCTTTTGAAAATCCCTAATAAAAACTTGCTGGTTTTTGTGGCTTGTGGGGCACCGTGGATCCTACCAACGTGTGATGTCTCCCCCAGCTTTAAAATTTCTCTCTTTTGTACTCTGTCCCTTTATTTCTCAAGCCGGCCGATGCTTAGGAAAATAGAAAAGAACCTACGTGATTATCGGGGCAGGTCCCCCGATAATATTCAATTTTAAAAATAATTCTAGCTACTATGTGGAGATTGGATTGTTGGGGTTCACAAGTGGACAACAGCAGAATTCTCCAGGGAAGAAAAATTTTTGGCTTCATGTAGTGTAGTAGTGACAAAGACAGATCCAGATAAAGTGAACAGACTTGGGATGTCTTTTTGCATGACTTGTTAATGGATTAAACGTAACTTATTTCTAAGTATTTTGCCTTGATAAATAGGTGGATGGTGGTGCTGCTTATTGAAATAGGGAAGAATAATGGGAGGAAATGATTTGAAGTGGGTGATTAGAAATGACAATTGTGTTTATTAAAATTGAGATGATTTTTGAACTCACATGAAGCAATCAGGAAGTCAACTGAATATAAGAGAGGAGTTCAGGGTGAGGCCAGGGCTGGAGGTATTTATGTTGGGGTCAATGCAGGTTCTGTGTTAAATTCCAGGGAAGTGGAAGAGGTTGCAGAGGGAGATAGATTTTTGTGTAGAAAAAATATCAGAGGGCCACAGGACAGCATAAGGGACTGAGAAGATTCCCCAGAGATGCTGGAGAAAAAAAACCCAAGGAATGTGATGCATGGGAATCAAAGAAAAATGATTTTTTCGAGGCGAGGGAGTGGCCAGTTGTGGTGAGAACCACTGACAGGTGAGTGAAGTAAGAACGTGACAGAGACGCAAGTACTGGGTTTGGAGGAGTTGATATTTGCAGTCAGTGGAGTATCCAGGATGGAAAGTGGATTGGACCATTTGAAGAGCGGGTGGAAGAAGTGAGGGCTGGATGAAGTTTGACTCTTTTGAGTAGCGAGCCTCAGGGAAAGACTATGCTCTGGGATCAGGGAGCCAGCTGGATCTAAAGAAAATGAACAAAGAAGCTGGATGACCTGTGAACCAGAGACAGATGCTCAGTCATTGGCAATGAAGCACTAGAAGGCCCCTGTGTACAGTGGTGACAGGTTATGCAAAAGGCTATTAGTTCATACAGCCAATATTTATTAGTGACTTAGAATATACTAGTTATTACCTTGGGTGATGAGAATGGAGTAATAAACAAAGCAAATCTGGTCTGTATTAGCGCGGAGTATTGTAATATTTTGCAGTGACTAATTACCAGGCTTATAAATTTTGGTATGGAAATCTAATACCTATCCTATCATATCTTTGGTATTTAAAAGCATATAGATCTTTGGAATCTAAAATTCAAAGGGTATAATGAACTTACCCACTGTCACAAAGTTAGTGCTAGAAATCCGATTGCAATTTAAATCTGAGTATATATGAAGTCCCTCTCTTCGATATCAGCAATCTCCTTTTGTGTGAGGTTTAGGCATATGAATTATTATATATAAACCAGTGTTTCTGTCCTCATGTGCTTAAAATGGTAATTAGTGATAAATTAATAAAAGACAATTGCCAAATCATGATGTAGACGTTACTTGCTTTAGAAGTTAAGGAATAGAAAAATAATGAAGCTTTCCTTTATAGGGATTGTAAAAATAAAATGGTAATATATTAGAGTGATTATTATATTATCAGCACTAAGAAGAGCCACTGCTTAGTTTTACCCTCAACAATAATCCTGTGAGGAATATATTACTGTTGGATCCATTTTATATATTTTTTTAAAGGTTAATGGTTGTTAAAATTAACCCTAGTAGAAGGGGTCATGTTTAAATTCAGATTTCCTGATTCTAGAGCCTGAGCTTACAACCACCATTGGTGAATAGTGACTAGACTGAGTCTGAATTATTGATAGAATTTCTTATGTACAGGGTGTGTCTCAGGGTGGGAGAGAGATGCAAGGTCTGCTAGTCCCAATGTAAAGGAGAAACTTTCATTCATTTTGCATTTATCATTTGAAAACTTCCCTATGTGCACGCTGTCATAGGCATGTGTTAAAGAACACAAAGAAGTATTAAATTCACTCCTTCTGAGCATTATTAGCAAGTTGGGCTAAGGTTGCCAAATAAAGTACAGGATACCCAGTTAAATCCGAACTTCAGATAAACAACAATAATGTATTTGAAATCCAAATTTAACTAGGCACCCTCTATTTTTATTTGCTAAATATGGCAATCTAAGCTTGGCACATGAGCATAGACTGCAGTGCTAACCATGCAAGCTACAGTGACGGCAATTTCACATATTTTTATTTTTCAACATTCTTATCTGTGAAGAAGGTGCTCAGAGAATTTAGGAATAATAAGATAGACCTTATCTCATCCAAAGTGCTCTCCTCTCTGCTATCATTTCTGAAGGGTGAAGGGAGCTTGTGAAAGTCTCTACGCAAAATCTGGGGACTTGCTCGTTTTTTGGAAACTATCTATGAGAGAATGCCATCTTCTTAGTTTCTCCCTGTATTAGTCTGTTTTCAGGCTGCGGATAAAGACATACCCAAGACTGGATAATTTATAAGGAAAAAGGGCTATAATAGACTCACAGTTCCATGTGGCTGGGGAGATCTCACAATCACAGCGGAAGGTGAAAGGCATGTCTCACATGATGGCAGGCAAGAGAAGAATGACAGCAAGCGAAAGGGTTTTTCCCTTTATAAAACCATCAGATCTCATAAGACTTATTCACTGTCATGAGAACAGCATGGGGAAAGACCTGCCCCCATGACTCAACTATCTCCCACCTGGTCCCTCCCACAACACGTGGGAATTGTGGGAGCTACAATTCAAGACAAGATTGAAATGCTTACGCAGCCAAACCATAGCACTCCCCTTCTGAGAAGGCTTAACTACAGAAATGAGAGTTCTGCCTCTGTCCAAGGTTGGTAATTTGATGCCTCCTTGTATTGTTGGGAGTAGGAAACTGAAAGTTAGAAAATGAATTAGCTGAGGCAGTGAGTAGTGGACCAGTGACACAGAAATTAAGAATATGACTTGGCGACTGGGAAGGCAAATAAATCAGTAAACCTTGGTTCTGAATGTATTAATTTTGCTAGAAAAATAGCTCTGCACTGGGACCAGATTCCTAAAAATCCTAAGTTTTATGTAGGACCAAGATTTTAAATAGATAGAATATTGGCAGAGTTTTCAGTGTAAATCTCAAATATTCCATAATTAATAGCGGCTTTTTAACCATAGATTTTTCAGATGGTTACACTAGTGGGTCTCACCCAGGGATAGTTCACCACCCCTCTGTCCCTCCCTTCCCTCTCCCAACTCCCTAGGGAACATTTGGCAATGTCTGGAGCCATTTTTGGTTGTCACACCAGGAGTTTCTTCTGACATGTAACAAGTAGAAGCTAGGGACCCTAGTAGACAGCTCCTCTCACCAAGAAAATATTATCTAGTCCAAAATGTCAATAGTGCCAAGGCTGAGAACACTGGTTTACATTGTGTTTCTTCTAAAAATTCTAGACTCACACTTTTAAAACACATTTATCTCTTAGTTCAGCTCTTCATGGCTTAGTTTTGCTTGTTTCATTACCAAAAAAAAAAAAAAAACTAGACAGTTGCATAAATTCACTGCTTTCTTGATGAATCCATTCAGTCAATGCAGGTTCAAGATTTTCATTTTTACTTTTTTGCGTTATGCAGTTTATTTCAAAATTTTGATGTGTTCTTGATAATTACTATCTCTATTAACTTTCAACAACTGGTAATTGTAAGTCATAAATGGTGACGACTATCCCAAATATTTTTCAGTAAAATGCCTCAGATTTCTGCAGTAATTCTACATTTTATACTACTGATAATGTAAGATGCTTTCTATTCACTGTGGTACATATACACCACGGAATACTATGCAGCCATAAAGAGGAATGAGATCACGTCCTTTGCAGAGACATGGATGAAGCTGGAAGCCATTATCCTCAGCAAATTAACACAGAAACAGGAAACCAAACACCGCATGTTCTCACATATAAATGGGAGCTAAACAATGAGAACACATGGACACAGGGAGGAGAACAACACTTACTAGGGTCTGCTGGGGGAGGGCAGAGTTGGGGAGAACATTAGGGAAAAGAGCTAATGCGTGCTGGGCTTAATACCTAGGTAATGCGTTGATAGCTGCAGCAAACCACCATGGCACATGTTTACCTGTGTAACAAACCTGTACATCCTGCACATGTACCCAGAACTTAAAAAAAAAACTATTATTTTAAAAATGCTTTCTATTCATCTCATTTTATTAAACACAAGGATTTTTCTTTATTTTTTATTTTTCATAGTTCATTTAAACATAAATACAAAAACATCAAAAATATATACATGCACAGTATTTGAAATCTGTGTATATTTACACATGCATACGTATGTTTGTATGTTTATATATATTGAAACTACAGATGCACATGTCACCAGTAAGAGCTCTGTGACACTTTTGAGTCCTTACCTCTTCAGATCAGATTTGCCAAATGAGTTTCGGCAACAAATTAAAAACAACAGCAAGTGAATTCGTGAGTTTTCTGGATTTAGAAAGTCCAAAAAAAAAAGTTTGTGGACCTGTGTTGGGGTCATGGACTCTTCAACTGCTTCCCATTACATTTAGTATAAATCGAAATCCTAACATGACAATGATTTTAATTGTTTCCTTCTTGTGATTTCTCCAGTTTAATCTTTTCCCCTCCTTTCCTTCATGCTGTGCTTTAGTGAACTTTTTTCTGGTTTCTTGAAGAAGTTCATCAATTCTTTCAAGCTTTTGTACATGATATTATGCTTACCTGAAATGTGCCTCCCTTTTTGTCCAGAGACACACACGGGCTCCACTCTGCCCCCTGGCTCACACCCACTAAACCTGTAAGGTCACATTTGAGCTGTCACTCTCAGAGTCCTTCTCTGGCACCCTAATGTAATTTAGATCATCCTATTCTTTCTTCTAGAACTCCACACTTCTCTTAACATTTTTCGTTCCTGTATAAGGTGTTGCGTGTTTGGTTTTTTGCCATCAATTTCACTTCTCTTTAAGCTCCTCCAGCGGAGGGATGAGGTCTATTTTTCCCGTTTGGATTCCCAGGAGACAGCACAGATGAGACACAAGGTAAGCACTAAGGAAGCATTTACAGAATGGAGGCAGTGGGTCTTGTTTAAGGAATGAGTAGAGTGTGGCATGATAGGAGGGAGCAGAAGTGTCTTTTGGATGGAGGCTCCCAGGAGGAGGAAGCGCAGGAGACAGTGATGAGGAAGGTGATTCTGATCCAGAGCCTTGCAAAGAGGCGTCCAGCTCATCTCGGAAATGGGTAGCAGATCCCAAATGGTATTCCACGCCCCTCGCAGCCTCCCTCCGCCTCAGGCAGATGGAAGAGGAACCCCTAGGTGGTCGGGGGTGGCTGGTGGGGGCCAGTCAAGGTGTTCCGCCCCTCGCCCTGCTGATTGTGGGCATAGCCATCACTCTTTTCCTAGGATGCCGCCCAAGAAACCGGTTCTTCATGTCCCTGCGGCACATTTCTTGGAGCAGATTAAACACGAGTGCTATTTCTGCAATGGGACAGAGCGGATGCGGTTTGTGCAGAGACTCGTCCACACCGGAAGGAGTATGCGCGCTTCCATAGGGACGTCAGAAAGTTCCGGGCGGTGGCGGAGCTGGAGCGGAGAAGAGTCCAGGAATGCAAACAGCCAGAAGAACCTCTTGGGCTGCTTGCGGGGTCTGTTGGACACCTACTGCAGACACAACTACGGGGTTTTTGAGAGCTTCTCCATGCACAGGCGAGGTGAGCAAGGCGGGTGGGGGAGGGGAGTAGGGTCCCTGAGAACAGGGAGTGTGTGTGTATGCACACGTAAGCACCCTGTGGGAGGGTGTAGGATTGTGAGCCAGAAGGAATTAGGAGGGCTCAGGTAGGTGAGTGTAGAGTGGGGATTTGTCTGTGTGTCTGCTGTGGGAGGGAACACAGGAGGGAGCTTCAGCTTGTCCTTCCAGCCTTCTGGGCAGAGATGAGATGAGATGGGGGTGGGAATGGTGGTGCAGGGGGCTGGAGAAGGAGACCTTAATCGCCCTGAATCATTAGAGATGCAGGAAAGGGAAACTTACCTAGTCTGCTGTTGGCATGAAAGTTTAGGGGAGAAGAGATGAGAAATGATAATGTGAGGGATAATGTGAGGAGGCTAGTCACAAACTGTCCTTGGTACACACCCTTTATGATCCCGAAATCTCTGAAATAAAAGTGTATGATATTTGTTTGCATAAGCATTTCACTGAGAAAAAAGTATTCAACTAATTTCTTTCTTTTTTATTTTAAACTTTTATTTTAGTTTTAGGGATACATGTACAGGTTTGCTCTATAGGTAAACTGCATGTCAGGTGTGTTTGATGTACAGATAATTTCATCACCAAGGTAATAAGCATAGTATCTCACAGGTATTTTTCCTGATCCTTTCCCTCCTCCTATCCTTCACCCTCAAGTAGGTCCCCATATCTACTGTTCTCTTCTTTGTATCCATGTGTACTCAATGTTTAGTTCCCACTTATAAGTGAGAACATGTGGTATTTGGTTTTTTGTCCCTATGTTAGTTTGCATAAGATAATGGCCTCCAGCTCCATCCATGTTCCTGCAAAGGACATGATCTTGAGAGGTGACGCTGGCTGGGCTTCTGGGTTGGGCAGGGACTTGGAGAACTTTTCTGTCTAGCTAAAGGATTGTAAAAGCACCAATCAGCACTCTGTGAAAACACACCAATCAGCACTCTGCATCTAGCTAAAGGTTTGTAAACGCACCAATCAGCACTCTGTAGAAATGCCCCAATCAGTGCTCTGTGTCTAGCTAAAAGTTTGCAAACGTGCCAATCAGCACTCTGTAAAATGGACCAATCAGCAGGATGTGGACAGGGCCAAATAAGGGAATAAAAGCTGGCCACCCCAGCCAGCAGCTGCAACCCACTCAGGTCCCCTTCCACACTGTGGAAGCTTTGTCCTTTCACTCTTTGCAATAAATCTTGCTGCTGCTCACTCTTTGGGTCCGCACTACCTTTATGAGCTGTAACACTCACTGCTAAGGTCTGCAGCTTCACTCCTGAAGCCAGCAAGACAACAAACCCACCAGGAGGAACGAACAACTCAGGACGCACCACCTTTAAGAGCTGTAACACTCACTGTGAAAGTCTGCAGCTTCACTCCTGATGTCAGCGAGACCACAAACCCACTGGGAGGAATGAACAACTCCAGATGCACCACCTTTAAGAGCTGTAACACTCACAGCAAAGGTCTGCGGCTTCACTCCTGAAATCAGCAAGACCACGAACCCACCAGAAGGAAGAAACTTGGGATACATTTGAACATCTGAAGGAACAAACTCCGGACACACCATCTTTAAGAACTGTAACACTCACCACGAGGGTTCATGGCTTCATTTTTGAAGTCAGCGAGACCAAGAACCCACCGGAAGGAACCAATTCTGGACAGAATCTCATTCTTTTTATGGCTGCATAGTATTCCATGGTGTATATGTACCACGTTTCCTTTAACCAGTCCACTGTTGATGGGCATCTAGGTTGATTCAATGTCTTTGCTATTGTGAACAGTGCTGCAGTGAACATATGTGTGCATGTGTCTTTATGGTAGAATGGTTTATATCCCTTTAGGTATATACACAGTAATGGGATTGCTGAATCAAATGGTAATTTTCTTTTTAGTTCTTTGCACCCCACTGCTTTCCACAATGGCTGAACTAATTTACATTTCTATTAGCAGTGTATAAGCATTCTCTTTCCTTGCAACCTCACCAGCATCTGTTATTTTTTGACTTTTTAATAGTAGCCATTCACACTGGTATGAGATGGTATCTTATTGTGATTTTGACTTGCATATCTCTAATAATTAGTGCTGTTGAGAATTTTTTCCTATGTTTGTTGGCTGCATGTATGTCTTCTTTTGAAAAGTGTCTGTTCATGTCTGTTCATGCCCATATTTTAATGAGGTTGTTTGGTTTTTTTCTTGTAAATTTGTTTAAGTTCCTTATAGATTCTGGATATTAGACCTTTGTCAGATGCATAGTTTGCAAATATTTTCTGTTGCAGGTGAGCAATAACTATCTGGGCCAGTGGCGCCAGGGTAAAAGAATTTACCAAGACAGTTGTAGGTAGAAAAAAAAAGCAGATTTATTAGAGAAAGTAGGAAAATATGTTGCAAGGAGGCAACAGGCAGGCAGGCCAGCAGAAGAGAAGCTGACTGCACGGAAACAAAGGCTTGCAGGAGATTTTATAGGATGGTTCTTAGGCTGCAGAGTGCTATGTGCAGTAGCAACAATGCCAGGGTTGCAGTGAGCTAGTTTATAGATGTCTGATGATAGTTGGGCACGGGAAGACTGTGAGTTATTTGCACAGGAGGGCTGTGTGTTCTGGACCATGAGGAAAGACAGACTTACAGCTTATTTGTTTTACCTCTTTGCTTTCTTCTGGTCCCACCAGCCTGACTCCTTTTCCCGAATTAGGACTTGACATTTTCTCCATTCTCTAGGTTTTCTATTTACTCTGTCGATAGTTTCTTTTACTGCACAGAAGCTCTTAAGTTAAATTAGGTCCCATTTGTCAATTTTTGTTTTTGTTGTGATTGCTTTTGGTGTCTTTGCCATGAAATCTTTGCCAAGTCCTATGTTCAGAATGGTATATTCTAGGTTACTTTCCAGGGTTTTTATGATTTTAGGTTTTACATTTAAGTCATTAATTCATTTTAAGTTGATTTTTGTATATGGTGTAAGGTAGCAGTCCAGCTTCAGTCTTCTGCATATGGCTAGCCAGTTAGTACAGCACCGTTTATTGAATGAGGAGTCCTTTCCTCATTGCTTGTTTTTGTCATCTTTGTCAAAGATCAGATGGTTGGAGTTGTACAGCATTATTTCTGGACTCTCTATTCTGTTCCATTTGTCTGTGTGTCTGCTTTTGTACCAGTACCATGCTGTTTTGGTTACTGTGGCCTCATAGTATAGTTTGAAGTTGAGCAACATAGTAACTCTTACTTTATTCTTTTGCTTAGGATTGCCTTAGCTATTTAGGCTCTGTTTTGCTTCCATATGAATTTTAAAATAGTTTGTTCTAGTTCTGTGAAGACTGTCAGTGGTAGTTTAATGGGAATAGCATTGAATCTATAAATTACTTTGGGCAGTATGGCCATTTTAATGATATTGAGTCTTCCTATCCATGAGAATGATAATTTTTTCCATTTGTTTGTGTCATCTCTGATTTCTCTGAGCAGTGTTTTGTAGTTCTTCTTGTAGAGATCTTTCATCTCCATAGTTAGCTGTATTCTTAGGTAATATGTGTGTGTGTGGAAATTGTGAGTGGGATTATGTTCTTGATATGGGTCTCAGCTTGAGTGTTCTTTGTGTATAGGAATGCTGCTGATTTTTATATGTTGATTTTTTTTATCCTGAAACTTTGCTGAAGTTGTTTATCAGCTAAAGGAACTTTTGGGCCAAGATTTGGAGATTTAGGGTTTTCTAGACACAGGATCATATCATCTGCAAACAGGGATAGTTTGACTTCCACTCTTCCTCTTTGAATGCCCTTTATTTCTTTCTCTGGCCTGATGTTCTGGTCAGGACTTCCAATACTATCTTGAATAAGAATGGTGAGGGAGGGCCGGGCACAGTGGCTTACACCTGTAATCCCAGTGCTTTAGGAGGCTGAGGTGGGTGGATCACGAGGTGAGGATATCAACACCATCCTGGCTAACATGATGAAACCTGGTCTCTACTAAAAAAAAAAAAAAAAAAAAAAATGCCAGGCGTGGTGGCATGTGCCTGTAGTCCCAGCTACTTGGGAGGCTGAGGCAGGAGAATTGCTTCAACCTGGGAAGCGGAGATTGCAGTGAGCTGAGATCGCGCCACTGCACTACTCCAGCCTGGCAACAGAGCAAGACTCTGTCTCCAAAAAAAAAAAAAAAACAGTGGTGAGAGAGGGCATCCTTGTCTCCTGCTGATTTTCAAGAGTGATGCTTCCAGCTTTTGCCCATTCACTATGTTGTTGGCTGTGGCTTTGTCATTGATGGCTCTTATTATTTTGAAGTATGTTCCTCCAATGCCTAGTTTACTGAGGTTTTTTTTTTTTTTTAAGATGGAGTCTTTCTCTGTTGTCAGGCTGGAGTGCAGTGGCGGGATCTTGGCTCACTGCAACCTCCGCCTTCTGGGTTCAAGCGATTCTCCTGCTTCAGCCTCCTGAGTAGCTGCGACTACAGGCGCATGCCACCATGCCCAGCTAAGTTTTCATTTTTAGTAGAGACAAGGTTTCACCATGTTGGCCAGGATGGTCTCAATCTCCTGACCTTGTGATCTGCCCACCTCAGCCTCCCAAAGTGCTGGGATTACAGGCGTGAACTGAGCATTTTTAACATGAAGTGCTGTTGAATTTTATCAAAAGCCTTTTCCACATCTATTGAGATGATCAGGTGGTTGTTGCCTTTCATTCTGCTTTATGTGATGGATCACATTTGTTGATTTGTATATGTTGAACTAACCTTGCATCTCAGGGGTAAAATCTACTTGATCGTGGTACATTAGCTTTTGATGTGCTGCTTGATTTGGTTTGTTAGTATTTTGTTAAGGATATTTGCATCTATGTTCATCAAGAATATTGGCCTGAAATTTTCTTTTTTTGTTGTTTCTGCCCGGTTTTGGTATCAGGATGATGCTGGCCTCAGAATGAATTGGGGAGTAATCCCTTCTCCTCAATTTTTTTGGAATAATTTTAATAGGAATAGGACCAGGTCTTCTTTATCCATCTGGTAGAATTCAGCTGTGAATCCATCTGGTCCCAGGCTTTTTTTGGTTGGTAGGCTTTTTATTACTGACTCAATTTCAGAACTCATTATTGGTCTGTTTAGGAATTCAGTTTCTTCCTGGTTCAGTCTTGAGAGGGTGTATGTGTCCAGGAATTTATCCATTTCTTAAATATATATTCATTTATATTAGTCCATTATCATGCTGCTAATAAAGGCATACTTGAGATTGGGCAATTTACAAAAGAAGGAGGTTTAATGGACTCGCAGTTCCACATGGCTGGGGAGGCCTCACAATCATGGTGGAAGGTGAAAAGCACATCTCACATGGCAGCAGACAAGAGAAGAGGACTTGGGCAGGGAAACTCCCCTTCATAAAACCATCAAATCTCATGAGACTTATTCACTATCACAAGAATAGTACGGGAAAGACCTACCCCATGATTAAATTACCTCCCACCAGGTCCCTCCCACAACATGTGGGTATTATGGGACCTACAATTCAAGGTGAGATTTGGGTGGGGACAGGGCCAAACCATATCATTCCACCACCGGCCCCTCCCAAATCTCATGCCCTCATATTTCAAACCAATCATGCCTTCTCAAGAGTACCCCAAAGTCTTATTTCTACATTAACTCAAAATCCACAGTCCAAATTCTCATCTGAGACAAGGCAAGTCCCTTCTGCCTATGAGCCTGTAAAATCAAAAGCAAGCTAGTTACTTCTTAGACACAATGAGGGTACAGGCATTGAATAAATGTACCCATTCCAAATGGAAGAAACTGGCCAAAATGAAGGGACTTAAAGGCTCCATGCAACTCTGAAATCCAGCAGAGCACTTAAATCTTAAACTCCAAAAAATGACCTCCTTTGATTCCGTATCTCACATCCAGGTCACACTGATACAAGAGGTGGGTTCCCCTGGTCTTGAGCAGCTCCGCCCCTGTGGCTTTGCAGGATATAGCCTCCCTCCAAGCTGCTTTCATGGGCTGGCATTGAGTGTCTGCAGCTTTTCCAGTGCATGATGCAAGCTGTCAGTGGATCCATCACTCTGGAGTCTGGAGGATGGTGTTCCTCTTTTCAAAACTCCACTAGGCACTGCCCCATTGAGAACTCTGTGTGAGGGTGCCCACTCCACATTTCCCTTCTGCACTGCCCTAGCAGAGGTTCCACATGAGTGCCCTGCCCAGGCAGCAAACTTCTGCCTGGACATCCAGGCATTTCCATACATCCTCTGAAATCTAGGTGGAGGTTCCCAAACCTCAACTCTTGACTTCTGTGTACCTGTAGGCTCAACACCACATGGAAGCTGCCAAGGCTTGGGGCTTGCATCCTCTGAAGCCGTGGCCTGAGCTCTATGTTGGCCCCTTTTAGTCACAGCTGGAGCGGCTGAGACACAGGGCACCAAGTCCAAAGACCGCATACAGCACGGGGACACTGGGCCCAGCCCAAGAAACCACTCTTTCCTCCTAGGCCTCCAGGCCTGTGATGGGCAGGGCTGCCATCAAGACCTCTGACATGGCCAGGCATGGTGGCTCACGCCTGTAATCCCAGCACTTTGGGAGGCCGAGGTGGGTGGATCATGAGGTCAGGAGATCGAGACCATCCTGGCTAACATGGTGAAACCCCGTCTCTACTAAAAATACAAAAAATTAGCCAGGTGTGGTGGCGGATGCCTGTAGTCCCAGCTACTTGGAAGGCTGAGGCAGGAGAATGGCATGAACCCGGCAGGCAGAGCTTGCAGTGAACCGAGATCATGCCACTGCACTCCAGCCTGGGCGACAGAGCGAGACTCTGGAAAAAAAAAAAAAAAACCTCTGATATGCCTTGGAGACATTTTCCCCATTGTCTTAATAATTAACATTCAGCTCCTCGTTACCCATGAAATTTCTGCAGCCGGCTTGAATTTATCCTCAGAAAATTGGATTTTCTTTTCTATTGCATTGTCAGGCTGCAAATTTTCCAAACATTTATGCTCTGCTTCCCTTATAAAACTGAATGGCTTTAACAGCACGCAAGTAACCTCTTGAATGCTTTGCTGCTTAGAAATATCTTCTGCCAGATACCCTAAATCATCTCTCTCAAGTTCAAAGTTCCACAAATCTCTAGGACAGGGGCAAAATGTCACCAGTCTCTTTGCTAAAGCATAATGAGTCACCTTTGCTCCAGTTCCCAACAAGTTCCTCATTTCCATCTGAGACTACCTTAGCCTGGACGTTATTGTCCACATCACCATCAGCAATTTGGGCAAAGGCATTCAACAAGTCTCTAGGAAGTTCCAAAATTTCCCACATTTTCCTATCTTCTTCTGAGCCCTCCAAACTGTTCCAACCTCTGCCTGTTACCCAGTTCCAAAGTCACTTCCACATTTTCAGGTATCTTTTCAGCAGTGCTCCACTCTCCTCTATTAGTCTGTTATGCTGCTGACAAAGATATACCTGAGACTGGGCAATTTACAAAAGAAAGAAATTTAATGGACTGACAGTTCCACATGGCTAGGGATGCCTCACAATCATGATGGAAGGTGAAAATCACATCTCACATGGTGGCAGACAAGACAAGAGAACTTGTGCAGGGAAACTCCTCTTTATAAAACTATCAGATCTCATGAGACTTATTCACTATGATGAGAATAGCATGGGAAAGACCCGCCCCCATGATTCAATTACCTCCCACCAGGTGCCTCCCGTGGCATGTGAGAATTGGGGGAGCTACAATTCAAGGTGAGATTTGAATGGGAACACAGCCAAACCAGATCAGCACCCAACACAGGAACACCCAGATTCATAAAGCAAGTTCTTAGGGACCTTCAAAGAGACTTAGACTCCAACACAATAATACTTGGAGATGTTAACAACTCACTGATAATATTAGACAGATCATCGAGACAAAAAATTAACAAAGATATTCAGGACTTGAACTCAGCACTGAATCAAATGGACCTGATAGACATCTATAGAATTATCCACACCAAAACAACAGTATACACATTCTTCTCATCACCACATGGCATGTACTCTAAAATTGATCACATAATCGGAAGTCAAATACTCCTCAGCAAATGCAAAAGAACTGAAATCATAAAAAACAATCTTTCAGACAACAGTGCAATCAAATTAGAAATTAAGACTAAGAAATTCATTCAAAACCCTACAATTACATGGAAGTTGAACCGCCTGCTCCTGAATGACTTTTGTGTAAATAATGAAATTAAGGAAGAAATTGAGAAGTTCTTTAAAACTGATGAGAACAACGATACAACATACCAGAATCTCTGGGACACAGCTAAGGCAGTGTTAAGTGGGAAATTTATGCATCAAATACCCACATGAAAAAGTTAGAAAGACCTCAATTTAACAACCTAACATCACAACTAAAAGAACTGGTCAACCAGGTACAAACCAATATCAAGGCTAGCAGAAGACAAGAAATAACCAAAATCAGAGCTGAACTAAAGGAGATTGAGACAGAAAAAAAAACAACACTCAAAAGATCAATGAGTCCAGGAATTGGTTTCCTAAAAAAAAATTAATAAAAAAAAAGACCTCTAGTTAGACTAATAAAGAAGAAAAGAGAGAAGATTCAAATAATCACGCTCAGAAATTACAATGGGGATATTACCACTGACCCCACAGAAACACAAATAACCATCAGAGAATATTAAAAACACCTCTATGCACATAAACTAGGAAAACTAGAAGAAATTGATAAATTTCTGGACACGTACACCCTCCCAAGACAGAACCAGGAAGAAATTCAATCCCTGAACAGACTGATAATGATCTCAGAAATTAAATCAGTAATAAGTAGACTACCAAACAAAAAAAACCCCTAGGACTAGAATAATTCACAGCTGAATTCTGCCTGATGTACAAAGAAGAGCTGGTACCATTCCTGTTATAATTATTCCAAAAAATTGAGGAAGAGGGATACCTCTCTAACTCATTCTATGAGGCCAGCATCATCAGGATCAGCACCAAAACCTGGCAGACACACACACAAAAGAAAACTTCAGGCAAATATTATTGATGAAGATTGATGCAAAAATCCTCCACGAAATACTGGCAAACTGAATCCAGCAGTACATTAAAAAGCTAATCTACAATGATCAAGTATGCTTTATCTTGGTGATGCAAGGTTAGTTCAACATATGCAAATCAATAAATTTGATTCATTACATAAGCAGTACTAAAGACAGAAACCACATGATTAGCTCAATAGATGCAGGAATGGTTTTTGATAAAATTCAATATCCCTTCATGTTAAAAACTCTTAATAAACTGAGTAGTAAGTGAACATAACTTAAAATAATAAGAGCCTTCTGTGACAACCCCACAGCTAATACCATACTAAATGGGAAAAAGCTAGAAGCATTCCCCTTGAAAACCAGCGCAAGACAAGGATACCCTCTCTCACTACTCCTATCCAACATAGTATTGGAAGTCTTGGCCAGGGCAACAAGCAAGAAAAAGAATTAAAGGCATCCAAACAGGAAGAGAGGAAATTGAACTATGCCTATTTGCAGATGGCATGATCCTATATCAAGAAAACCCCATAGTCTCAGCCCAAAAGCTCTTTAAGCTAATGAACAACTTCAGCAAAGTCTTGGCATTCAAAATTAATGTGGAAAAATTACTAACATTCCTATACACCACAACAGTCAAGCTGAGAGCCAAATCAGGAACGTAATCCCATTCACGATTGCCACACACACACGAAATACCTAGGAATACAGCTAACTAGGGAGGAGAAAGATCTCTACAAGGAAAACTACAAACCACTGCTCAAAGAACTCAGAGATGACACAAATAAATGGAAAAAAATATCATGTTCATGGAAAAGGAAGAATCAATATTGTCTGGGCGCGGTGGCTCACATCTGTAATCCTAGCACTTCCGGAGGCCAAGGCAGGCAAATCACCTGAGGTCAGGAATTTGAGACCAACCTGGCCAACATGGTGAAACCCCATCTCTAGTAAAAATACAAAAAAATTATCCAGGCGTGATGGTGTGCACCTGTAATCCCAGCTACTAGGGAGGCTGAGGCAGGAGAATCACCTGAACCCAGGAGGCAGAGGTTTCAGTGAGCCGAAATCACGCCATTGCACTCCAGCCTGGGCGACAGAGCCAGACTCTATCGCAAAAAAAAAAAAAAAAAAAAAAAAAAAAAGGAAAAATCAATATGATGAAAGTGGCCATACTCCCACAAAGCAATTAGAGAATAGTTTATCGGTTTCTTTCTTTCTCTTTCTTTCTTTCTTTCCTTCCTTCTTTCTTTTTCTTTCTTCCTTCCTTCCTTCTTTCCTTCCTTCCTTTTTCTTTTTCTTTCTTTCCTTTCCTTCTTTCTTTCCTTTCCTTCTCTCTCTTTCTTTCTTTCTTTTTTCTTTCTCTTTCTCTCTTCCTTTTCTTTCTCCTTCCTTCCTTCTTTCCTTCCTTTCACCCTCCCTCCCTTCCTCCCTTCCCTCCCTCCTTCCCTTCTTCCTTCCTTCTTTTTCTTTCTCTTTCTCCTCCCTCCCTTCCTTCCTTTCTTCCATCTTTCCTTTCTTCCTTCCTCCCTCCCTCCCTTCTTTTTTCTCCTTCCTTCCTTCCTTCCTTCCTTGCTTCTTCCCTCCCTTCCTTCCTTTTGGAGACAGGATCTTGCTCTGTCAGATAGGCTGAAGTGCAGTGGCTCACTGCAGCCTCAAATTCCTGGGCTCAAGCAATCCTCCCACCTCAGCCTCCCAAGTAGCTGTGACTATAGGGGCATGCCACCTCATCCACCTGACAAAAAACAAAAAACAAAAACAAAACAAAACATTTGGCCGGGCACGGTGGCTCATGCCTGTAATCTCAGCACTTTGGGAGGCCAAGGCAAGCGGATCACGAGGTCATGAGGTCAAGACCATCCTGGCCAACATGGTGAAACCCTGTCTCTACTAAAAATACAAAAATTAATTGGGCGTGGTGGTGTGCACCTGTAGTCTCAGCTACTCGAGAGGCTGAGGCAGAAGAATTGCTTGAACCTGGGAGGCGGAGGTTGCAGTGAGCCGAGATCGCATGACGGCACTCCAGTCTGGCAACAGAGCGAGACTCTGTCTCAAAAAAAAAAAAAAAAAGTGTAGACGCTGGGGCTGGCCTCAAATTCCTGGCCTCAATTTATCCTTCCTCCTTGGCCTCCCAAAGTGCTGGGATTACAGGTATAAGCCATCATCATCATACTTGGCTAAGTTTGGCAGTTTCTTGAAAAACTAAACATATATTTCCATATGCCCATGAATTATATCCCAGACATTTATACCAGAGAAATGAAAACTCATGAACTCATGCTCATAGAAAAACCTTAAACACATGTTCAAAACAGCCTTATTTATAGTGACCCCAAACTAGAAACAGCCAAAATGTCCTTCAATAGGCAAATAGTTAAGCAAACTGTGCTGCATTTAGACCATGGAATACTACTTAGCAATAAAAAAAAAAAAAAGATTGTTGATATATGCAGCAGCTTGGATGGATCTCATGGGTATTATGCTAAGTGAAAAACACCAGTCACATACTGCATGATTCCATTTAACTAGTATTTTCAAAATGACACTATTCTAGAGATTAATAGCAAAGAAATTAGTGGTTTTAAGTTGTTAAGGTGATTGTGTGGGGGGAATTTGGCTATAAAGGGAAGCATGATGAAGATCTCTGTGATATGGAATAGCTCTGTGCTTGATTGTGGTGGTGGTTACATGAATCTACAAATGTGATAAGACATATGCATAAAACTATACATACACATTGTATCAAGGTATTTTCTTGGTTTTGCTACTGTGCTATAATTACTTAAAATATAAACATTTGGAGAAACTGGGTGAAGGCGTATGCAGAATGTCTCTATACTGTCTTTGCAATTTCCCCTGAATCTATAATTATTTTAAAATAAAAAAATATTAAAATGGCTTTCTTGCTTAAATCCCAAACCCCAGAATACCAAATGCTGGCAAGGATATAGAAAAACAGGGACTCTCATTCATTGCTGGTAGGAATGCAAAATGATACAGCCATTTTGGAAGATATTCTAGTTGTTTCTAACAAAGTTAAACATACTCTTACCATATGATCCAGCAATTGCACTTCTATGTATTTATCCAAAGTGGAAAACTTGTGTTTGCACAAACATCTGTTCATGGATGTTTATAGCAGCTTTATTCATAATTGCCAAAAATTAGAAGCAACCAAGATGTCCTTCAATAGATTAATGGGTAAATAAACCATAGTACATTTATACAATGGAGTATTATTTAACATTAAAGAAAAATAAGCTATCAAGCTATGACAATATACGCAGGAAACCTGTATGCATATGGCTAAGCAAAAGAATCTCATCTGAAAAAGCTCTATGCTGTATGATTACAAGTATGTGACATTCTGAAAAAGGCAAAACACTAGTAAATAGCTCAGAGAATGCCAATGGCTCAGAGGGAGGAAGGAAGGATGAGTAGATGGAGCCTGGGTCATTTTTAGATCAGTGAAGCTATTTTGTTTAATCCTGTAATGGTGGATATATGATATTATGTATTTGTCAGAACCCATATAACTGTGTAATACAGAGTGAACCCTCGTATAACTATGAATTTTAGTTAATAATAATTATTAGTATTGGTTCATCAATTGTAACAAGTGTACCACATTAATACAGGATGTTAAGCATTGTAGAAACTGGGGGTGGGGGAGCTCTGTATACAATTTCTGCAATTTTTCTGTTAGCTTAAAACAGCTCTAAAAATAAAAGTCTATTAAAATGGTTTTCCTTTTTTTTTTTTTTTTTTTCTTTTTTTTGAGATGGAGTCTCGCTCTGTCGCCCAGGCTGGAGTGCAGTGGTGTGATCTCGGCTTACTGCAAGCTCTGCCTCTTGGGTTCACGCCATTTTCCTGCCTCAACTTCTCGAGTAGCTGGGACTACAGGCACCCGCCACCACACCCGGCTAATTTTTTGTTTTTTTTTTTTTTAGTAGAGACGGGGTTTCACCATGTTAGCCAGGATGGTCTCGATCTCCTGACCTCGTGATCCGCCCGCCTCGGCCTCCCAAAGTGCTGGGATTACAGGCGTGAGCCACCGCACCTGGCCAAAAATGGTTTTCTTACATGGTAGTATATGGGTTTACTTTTTGCTTTCTTAATCCATGCTTGTCTAAGTTTTAGTGTATTCTCTGTGTTAAGCTATTTATTTTATAATAAAGTTTGTAGTCATGTAAGAAAGACACTCGTACCTATTCTACCATCAGTAGTCTCAAGATTCTGCTTTGATTCTCTGAACCAACAGTAGAGAAACTTTTTTTTTTTTTTTTTTTGAGACGGAGTCTCAGTCTGTTGCCAGGCAGGAGCGCAGTGGTGCGATCTCGGCTCACTGCAACCTCTGCCTCCCGGATTCAAGAGATTCTCCTGCCTCAACCTCCAGAGTAGCTGGGATTACAGGCGCCTATCACCACGCCTGGCTAATTTTTGTATTTTTAGTAGAGATGGGGTTTCACCATGTTGGCCAGGATGGTCTTGATTTCCTGACCTTGTGATCCGCCCACCTCGGCCTCCCAAAGTGCTGGATTACAGGCGTGAGCCACCGTGCCCAGCCGAGAAACTTCTTATTTATTAGTAAGGCTTAGAATGTCATGATGCTTTGGTTTATCCTTGTTTTGTTTAGCTTCTCTTAGATTTTTATCATCAGTCTATAGAAATTTTGAGAAAAACAACAGAATGTATAATTTTTTGCAATATTTTATTATCACTAAGCATGTATCTAATTACTTTGCTTGCGTTTTCCTTTTAATTCTGATATTAATTCAATGTAGTAAAAATTAACACCAGTATTTTCATGAGTAATGTGAGGCTAAGTTAAGTAAGATACCAGTGAAAACATAGCTAGTAAATGATACAGCCAAGATGAAACCCAAGCCTAACTCATTTCAACAGCATTTATTTGCAGTCTACCACACTATCATGAATAGTTTATCTTAGTGGTTTATGGCAGGTTCTAGAAACTATTTTAGAGATAAATATCAAGTCATAGTTTTATAGACAAATGAGCAACAGTTCATTGTGTTTCAAATATTCCTTCCTCTCATCTTAATGTCATATCTTTCTCCCCAACCCCAAATTTCACTCAGCTTTTCCACTCAAAGACACATCTTCAAATATAAGGTGGTTTCAAGAATCAGTCAGACTACTCTCTCGGTAATAAAATAGGCATCTGAGACTATGTCTAACAGAATGGGTAAGGCCAGTCTTCAGTGTCCAACCTCTTTGCTCATTAAATCTGGAATGAACGATGTTGATATGTAAATCCTGCAATGTTTATGGATTCTTCTGTCTTCCTTCTCCCCACTCTAACCCCATCTGCTCCCCTCTATCCCATGCATTCTGAGATCCATACCTTGGGGTTTCAGATTCACTCTACTGAAGACAGAGTTATATCATTGCTCAGTAGAGATCTCCCAACAAACCAACCCCACTTTAGGTTTTCCTGATGAGGACTAGACCACAACAAGAGGGTTGCCTGCAGATGCACAAAATGAGACCAAGCCCAAATGAACCGGGATATGTCTGATGAATTCTAGAATTTATAAGATAAATTCAACATTCAGATATTTTACCGGGAAAGGATCACATATATTCCCCAGGACCGACTCCCCACCCCCCACCGCCACCCAAAGAACTGGCTTAAACACCAAAAATTCCACCCAAGATCATCAAAATAGTTTATTGTGTTCAGAAAAATCACAGTTTGAGGAAACCTTAAACAATAAGTACACAAGAGATGCCCCATGGGGCATTCCATAGCAGAGACAGACTCCTGTATGTTTTATTCCAGAGGCATTGCATGGTGATAATAAAATGATAGGAAATAGAGGAAAATAGATACAGGAAAAGGCAATAGACAGGGAAGCCAGCTAGATGTTAGAGTACGGAGCAATCGAGGAGGCATAACCACACTTGGGGTGGCTATAGGGCTGGAAAACGCTGAAGATGACTGCTTTCACTGAGGTCAAGGATTGTAATATTGCCAGCTTTGTAAAGTCATTAAAGCAGAAGTTTCTTCAGTGATCTTCTCTCTAAGAAACACCATCACCTATAGCAAGACACACATAGTTACCAAGGAATTTAAGATCCGTTTTGAGCTCCTTGCTTCAGATTCCTTCCTCTTCTCTCTTAATCCTTTGACTTTGCAAAATTCTTTCAATGTTCATCTAACCTTTCCAACATGAACTAACTGTATACAGTTAGTTCCTACTCTCCAACTGAACATAATAAGCAACCATGCTTTACCTTTTTTTAGAGTTTCTCATACTACATTTGAGACTAAAGAAGCAAAAGCAGGCATTGGCCTCTAAGAGATTCCCATTTCATGCAATGAATTGACCCTAACCTGAAAGGAGCCAGGATCTGGAAATGCTTCTGAACTGATGACCTGCCCCAGGAAATACAAGCTAGGATGTGCCCAAATCTTGAGGCTTATTTTTCTAGATCCCTAGACTCAGTATTTTCTAGATCCCTAGACTCCATATTCTAATGTATTTTCTAGATCCCTAGACTCAGTATTCTAATGTGAAACAATGGTTTTAGGTACTGGAGATGATTTCTAAGACTGGAGCCGTGATCAAGGTGCCCGTCTATAGAAAGGGATGACAGACCCTGAAGCTTTGGGATACCAGATGATACCAATGTCTGATTCATTCTAGCAAAGAGAAATCAAGAGCCACATCTGTTCCTACCTTGTCTCTTAAATGCATTACATTTCCTTTCCCCACCCTGTTTTCCTCCCTCAGATATCTCCATATATGTCTTCCTCTGACCACACCTAACTCACCTCCATGTGCCTTACAGAGGCCCCCTGCGTTCTGCTGCATTGCTTTTGCGCACTCCCTTGATGATGAAGATGGTCCCAATAATGATGCCCACCAGACCCACAGTCAGGCCCAGGGCACACACCACGTTCTCTGTAGTCTCTGGGAGAGGGCTTGGAGCATCAAACTCTGGGGGGAGATAAGGCAGAGTACATGGTAATGAGTGTGGGAAGAAGTAACACTCAGAATCAAATGTAGGGTTCTTAATAAAGAGAAAAGTTATTCATAGATTAAAGAAGAGGAAGACAGAATGATGTATTGAGAGAATTACAGATTAAAAAAAGGAGGAAGCTGGATAGTAGGAGAAGACAGTTATATTAATTGTAGCAGATATTATGAAACAGTTAGAACACCGAGTTTCACACAAGCATCATAGGAGGAAACCTTGAAATAAAGGAGATTGAGTGTTGGTCCATACCCCAGTGCTTGAGAAGAGGCTCATCCAAGCCCCAGTGCTCCACCCTGCAGTCGTAAACGTCCTCAGTTGAGGGCAGGAAGGGGAGATAGTGGAACTTGCGGAAAAGGTGGTCTTCCCTGGGCAGGAAGACTGTCTCTGACACTCCTGTGGTGACAGGTTTTCCATTTCGAAGCCACGTGACATTGACCACTGGTGGGGTGAACTTGTCGATGAAACAGATGAGGACGTTGGGCTCTCTCAGTTCCACAGGGCTGTTCGTGAGCACAGTTACCTCTGGAGGTACTGGGGGACACATGACAGACGTGACAGAAATCAGCCATCACTGCTTAGGCTCACCCCTCTCCCTCCCATGCTCAATTGTGGTACAAACGTATCTAAAAACCCTAAAGCTGAAAAAGTAGTTGAAATTGTGCCCTGAGAAATCTATGTCACATCCTCAGATAACAATCTCTGACAGCACCCCCTCCCCAAGAAATTGAGCCAATATTGAGGTATAAGATATCCAAGGACTTCCCTTCTGGCTCCCCTAGCATGAACTTAGGGCAATGACTTCGTAGGAGACCATGGATGACAGAGACAAGACTTGAGCACAACAAGATAGGATCAAACCCATAAAGTTCTCAGACCTCTGGCATGAGAATTTGGGGCTTGTTAATGGCAAGGTTAGGCCCTTGGAGGGAAAATCAGTTACAATAATCTAACACAAAGAGCTGAAGCAACTACTTTCAAACTATGGATTCCCATGTCCAGGAGTGCAGCAGAGAGGGAGGTACCATTGGTGATCGGAGTATAGTTGGAGCGCTTTGTCATGATTTCCAGGTTGGCTTTGTCCACAGCTATGTTGGCCAATGCACCTTGAGCCTCAAAGCTGGCAAATCGTCCAAATTCTTCAAGCCGCCAGACCGTCTCCTTCTTTGCCATATCCACATGGAAAATCTCATCACCATCAAAGTCAAACATAAACTCGCCTGATTGGTCAGGATTCAGATAGAACTCGGCCTGGATGATCACATGTTCTTCTGAAAGGCAAGAAATGGAGAAAGAGAGTTGGGTGGGGGGAATCAAGAGAGGGAAATGAATAACCTACATACATGTAGGCAGGAAGTGGTGGAGAGAGATTGGGCCAAGAGGAATGAAAGAATGATGGCGAGTAGGGATGAGTGACAAGACAAGGTCTGGGTGAAGGGCATGCTGCTGAACAAAGCTGGGAGGGGAAAAACAAGAAGGACTGGTTATAAAGAGGGTGGATTGAAGGAGATGAGGGCTAAAGAACCCAGAGTCTTGTGAAGCTGTTGTTTGGCTCCATGTTACTAGCTGAGAAATTATTTTCTTTTTAGAAATCCAGCAGCAGCCCCTAAAGAGAAATGTTCTCTCACTTTCTTTACCCGGGCATTAAATACACTTAGGCCAGAATTCCAGAGGATCTCTTTCTCAGAACATTGTACTCTAAGAAGAAGGAAACACTGTTTGAAAGGTTGGGTTTTAAACTCTGGGATCAAAAACATCTTGAATTCTTATTCAGCAACTTACCTAGTGATCCTGAGCAGATTATTCTACCTATTTATGTATAGTTTTCCTATTATGTAGTCCTGCTGTGGTTTTGATCCTGTCAGGGGTTTGTTTTTAAGATTAAATGAGATAAGGTGAGTAATTTCTTAATATATCAACAAGACTGTAACAAGCACTGTTTACATTTTAGAGTCAGAAGCTTCTTTTTATTTAAGGGCCAAATCTATGGAAAATATACCTGGGGACTGAAGTACTCCAAAAATTAAGACTGAGACCTTGTAGCGTCATAGTCCCCCTGCTTCCCAGCATCCAAACCCACACGGTGGTTACCTCTATGAGAAGGTTCTCGTCTGGATTGACCTTGGCAATTCCACCTTTTATCTTAATGCTCCTTAAATTGGGACTGTTATTATGGAAGATGTTCTGTTACGATTGACATTGAGAATAACCAACACCAAGGGAATAATGAACATGAAAAGAGAAAGCTACACTGGGAGAGTATGCTGCCTCTGTGGAGTGTATCGATGAGTGGGAGATTTTTTTTTTCCTTAGTCTTCAAAGATAAGGTGAGATATTTTGTTTTGTTTTGGTTTGGTTGTTTGAGACGGAGTCTTGCTCTATCGCCAGGCTGGAGTGCAGTGGCACCATCTCAGCTCACTGCAACCTCCGCCTCCCGGGCTCAAGCAATCCTCCTGCCTCAGCCTCCCGAGTAGCTGGGACTACAGGCGTGTGCCACCATACCCAGCTAATTTTTTGTATTTTTAGTAGAGACGGGGTTTCACCATGTTGCCCAGGACGGTCTCGATCTCTTGACCTCGTGATCCGCCCGCCTCGGCCTCCCAAAGTGCTGGGATTACAGGCGTGAGCCACCGTGCCCAGCCAAGATGAGAGATTTTAATGTTTGACTGTGTATTGATAAACCTAGGAATTTATTTACCGTTTGCATCTATGCAAACACACACAAATATACTAGCTGCCTCTTCACAAACCAAGGGAAGATCCTCTGTCTTTCTAGGTAAGTATCCCTATGTATGGCTCTTTTGGGGCAATAGAAATCTACAATTGCCACTATGGGTATGGGAGCTGGGTTATTACTTTGCTTATTTCAAGTCTACCTGACACCTTCTGTGGGGGTCACGCTGGGTGAAGAATACTTTTCTACAGTACATCTTTACAACAGCACCAATGTTGCTCTGGAGATGAGAGACAATAATATCAGATTCCCCATTTCCTTACTTATTTTTCTACTCTCTTGGAAATATTACTAAGTTAACATGATATAAGATCTGCTGTACCATGGAGATGGGAAGGCAGGGAATGGCTATCACTGTCCCATGAGGCAACTCATATCAGCATGCCTTCCCTCCCCTTTTCCTGGGGTAAATTGTTGCTTTTTGATGACTTTTCCTTCTAGTAATCTTCAACACAATATATGTGCTCAATATATACCGACAGGATTTACACTCCAAAAAATAACTACTGTATCATGTATTCAGATAAGAACAGGGCTAATAACTTTTTTTTTCATTTAATTCTAGCAAAACTATGTGTGGTTTTTAGTTTTTAATTTTACTAATTTTCCAGAAAGAATAATTAAAGCCCAGAAATATAACTTGTTAATGCTTGCCAGAAAATATTCTTCCTCCCCCACCCCCACCCCCACCCCCAGTTTGGCTTGTAGCAGGACCGTGCTATTCATCAATACACAACTCAGTTTTGACCCTCTAAACCAAATTTGACTTACTTCAGTTTGTGGTGAGGGAAGAACTCCACCAAACCACAATTTGTTATACTTTCTGTCGAGACCACATAATACCTGTCACACTATTCTTTCACTCCACACATTATCTTCCAAATGTCCATAGGTCTTTTCTCCAATGCTTCGTAGTCTATCGTCCCAGATTTCATTCCCTCAGCACCTACCTTTGATAGCCCATGATTCCTGAGCGCTCATCAGCACAGCTATGATGAAAAATCCTAGCACAGGGACTCCACTTATGGCCATTTTCTTCTTGGGCGCTCTTTTGGGAGTCAGTAGAGCTCGGGAGTGAGGCAGAACAGACAAGAATAAAAGAAAAGAGAATGTGGGGTGTAATAGAGTCTGACCATTAAAATGCAAATCAATTACTCTTTGGCCAATCAGAAAAATATTTTGAGATGACGCATCTGTTGCTAGGGGAAGGGTTCTTGCAAAGGGTCCAGGACACAAGATACTCCGTTCATTGGATAAAGAAGTAAAGTTCTTAAACAAACAGGACAACAACAACAACAAATCAAGTATTTAAGACTGTTAGTCAATCACGGACAGACTCTTTAACCCCAATCTGACTTCTAGACAGGGATATACCTGAAGCACATTAGTGAGAATAGAATCAATGGAAACACCTAAAGTGAGAGCTAAATACAGATCATATGTCTGTGCAATGACAGTTGGAGAGTTTGCGTAAGGGACAATAAATTACCCAAATAGAAGGTAAATTGTCAGGCCATGGAGATTGTCTGAATTTTGGCAGTACTGAGGACATAGCTTCACTAAAGAAGCTCTTTCATGCTTCTTGGAGTCCTAGACTTCAAGATGATCAACTCAGGCCAAGAGCTTGGGATGGCTGGCATTGTATCTCATTTAGAGAAAATGAGAGGAGAAACTCTGAGGTTCAACACTCTCAACACTGGAGAAGGATGAAAGGCTGTATCTTGAAACACAGGTAGTAGTTAGTGGAAATAGTGGGCTGTAAAGGAGCTACCTTCTTCTCATCTCTACCATCTTATATATGACAAGAGATTGGAGTTGACTAATGGACACACCTCATTTGAGGATTCAGGTCAATGAATATGAGAGAGTATAGTGGGCAAAGCCTATTCTTTTTTTTTTTTTTTTTTTTAGACAGAGTCTTGCTCTGTCGCCCAAGCTGGAGTTGGTGGTGTGATCTCAGCTCATTGTAATCTCCGCCTCCCGGGTTCAAGCGATTCTCCTGCCTCAGCCTCCTGAGTAGCTGGGATTACAGGCGCCCACCACCATGCCCGGCTAATTTTTGTATTTTTAGTAGAGACGGGGTTTCACCATGTTGGTCAGGCTGGTCTCAGACTCCTGACCTCGTGATTTGCCCGCCTTGGCCTCGCAAAGTGCTGGGATTACAGGCATGAGCCACCGCACCCAGCTGGCAAAGCCTATTCTATTGGGAACGTTAGAGATAATAACTCACAGAACGGCTTTAATATTCCTTCCCTCATGTCATAAGATTATGAAAGTTTTTCTCTTGTCATATGATTATTAAAGATCTGCTCTAAAGAATATATTTTGATGTTCAACATAGACAGTCCTGAAAATTAGGAGACTTCGACTCTCTTGTTTCTGAAGATACAGTGTTATGAAAAGGAGAATGTTAAGTTCTTTCCACAGAAAGGACTGGAATACAAATACTTCCATGAAGAGTGACCTGGCAGTGAGGGAGCCCATCGGATGGTGAATCCATTGTTTTTTTTGTTGTTGTTTTGTTTTCGAGACGGAAGTCTTGCTCTGTCGCCCAGGCTGGAGTGCAGTGGCACGATCTCGGCTCACTGAAAGCTCTGCCTCCTGGGTTCACGCCATTCTCCTGCCTCAGCCTCCCGAGTAGCTAGGACTACAGGCGCCCGCCACCATGCCCGGCCAATTTTTTTTTTTTTTTTTTTTTGTATTTTCAGTAGAGACGGGGTTGCACCATGTTAACCAGGATGGTTTTGATCTCCTGACCTCGTGATCTGCCTGCTTCTGCCTCCCAAAGTGCTGGGATTACAGGCATGAGCCACCGTGCCTGGCTGGTGAGTCCATTGTTCAACATCAGTCATGACATGTCTGCTTAGGGTGGATTTTCCATACTGTTGTGCTGGGGTCTTGTCCTGCCATGCAGCCGTTCTCACGAGTTATGAACACAAATATTCCATACATTACTGATTATCTGATCGCATCAAAGGGCTTTGAACACACTGTGGCATTAACTCCTAGATCGCTAGAAAGAGACCTACAGCATGGTCTCTCCTGCAATTTTCAGGAATACCTTTCCTGAAAGGTAAAGAGTCAGGAGAATGGGCCAGATGAGAGCCTATGGTATCAGTCTGTGCTAAGAGTCTGATCCTATGATTTAAGCTTGTCATCTCCTCTTTTAGAGGCAAAACCATGTATAATTTTCTATGTCTGCCCTTTGCTGGCTGCCATAATGCCTTGTTCTTAAATGGTGCTTGAGAAAAACATGGTAAATTCAAAGACATTTCATATATTATAATAGCATCTTCAATCCAAGTTGTTGCTCAGCAACTTATGACACTGTTTAGTCCTAGAACACTGATTGGTTCTTCTTGTGAGATTACTAAATTTGGGAGACTTGAGAAATGACTTTCAGTTCCCTTTCTCTGTGATAGGAGAGAAGTTCCTATTTGGACAGTGCTCATGGTTCTCCGTTTTCTTTCAAACTCTAATTTCCTGTGTGTTTGAGGGAATTTCCAAAGGCACCTGAATGAGGACTTCTTGGTGATGTCAAATGGTGACGAGCCACTATAGCCATGAGAATTCAGTCAAGAAATAGGAATCCCTGTAATCAGTCTAAGCAGAACTGAATATATTACAGGGAATTAGCCCTTAAAACTGTTAGGGGGTCTGGAGGAGCACAAGTCACTGCAGACCCCTAATTTTAAAAGATCAGGAACCCACAGGAAGCTTCTGCTGATGTTGCAGATCCTCTAGAGCCCCTAGGAGTAAATGTCTTTAGAACACAAGGCTGCTGCCAAAACTCATGTCTGTGAAACCTGTCCCTGAGATGGCTGTGGCCTAACTTCCACCTCCCAAATCTCATAATACTGAGTTTCACTGGAGAAATGTATTCCACGTTCAGAAACCTGGGGCAGAGCAAGCCTGAGAGATGTAATATTCTTACATCTATTCCCAAAGATACAGACAGGATCAGAGAAGCAAATGGAAATTTTACAAAAATTACTAAATGCAAATATGTGTGTCTATGTTTGTGTGTATATCCACCATAGATCACTCTGGTTCTCCCCACAGTGCCAAGTCTAAAACCAGAGGACATATTCTTCTGGAGAAATAAGTTAGGGCTTTCACACTGGGCCCAGATCAAGTCTGGGACCTCAATACTTCATTTGTTTGTGTGGTTTGAATTCTGAGAACCTCCAGCCCCTTCTTTTAGCTTCCCTTCCACCACCCCCTACCCCCTTTTCCTTCTGCACTAAGGGTCTTCATGGTGTTTTTCTCCTACTAAGGACTTCCTACCAGAGGTGCTGAGGGAATATTGATCTAGGTATTTCCTTCTCAATTCACTACATAAGAAGCTTTTCTTGTGTTACTTTTTCGCATCCTGAGAGGTCACAGAAGCTGGTCTGCTGGAATAGATCCCTATCAGAATAAAAACTGTGAACTGTTGATATCAACAAATGCACTAGGACGTTAACAAATGTGCTAGGGCAGTGGGTTAATGGGCCTTCCTAGCATGTCCTGTGTTAATAGAGGGCTCCACGATGACTGGACTCATCTTTAACCTGGGAGGATGGCAGTTTGAGTTTGATTCATTCTCTCTTCACCTCTACCTGAAACCTGATGCTTTAAAGACCAGAGTTATCTTTATACAGACCTCCTGAGGTGTGAAATTACCCCTCTTTACTTGAGTAGTCTTTGTAAATTAGAAAATGCATGCAGGTAGGGGTGTGTGTGTGTGTACGTGTGCACACTTAGAAACTTTGAATCCACATCTCAGAATATTTTCCTGCCGGCCAACTACAAGTTTCATTGCTATAACTTGAGAACCTGTAGTCAGATTGTTCTATAATTCTCTGTGTTCTTGTCTGTTCTAAATGGCACAAGCTAAGTCTTATAATTGAGAGACTCTGAAGGAAAAGATTAGCTTGACCAATCACCAAAGAAGTCTAAGGGTAGTTGTCTCTAATAGCTGCCCCCATACAGCCAGTCCATGGCTTGATTCACTCACTCAACATCTCCTGTTCCTTAGAAATTCTGGCAATTTGTTTTCAGAGTTCCTTCCATCTCTATCATATTGGCCACTCCGAAGTCAGCACAGAGAATTAGGATATAGGACATTCTGTTGCTCTCATCTTCTCATCTTTGTTCTCATCTTCTGAAAAAACGCATGTCCTCACCTGTGAATCCTTTCTTAGCTATTCTTCCAGGAATAGGGAATGATTTTACTCAATCATCCATGTAAAACAGAGACCAGAAACTTCATTTAGACATTATGTTCTGTTGCATGAGTAAACTATGGAATCTCATCAAGGTCAGAATGATTTTATAGAATTCAGATGTGTTTGTATGCATACGTGTGTGTGTGTGTGTGTGTGTGTGTGTGTGTGTCTGTGTGTTGAAGGAGGAGAATTAGGAAAGTATCAATTTCAATCAATCTAATTCATATAATTTTTTAATTTACTCAATTGTTTAAATACTATTTGATCCTATTCTTTATTTAAGGTACTTTCTTTTGTTTATTTTTTTAAAACATCTGAAGCATACAAATGTAATTGCTAGGTTGGATAAGCACTAAATGGAATCTTTAATCAAACAAAAACTCATTGTGCCTGCTCTTGCCTCTTTAGAGAATTTCATTAGAGATGCTATTCCCCTGCGCTTGGGTAGGAATTATAGCATACTTCATGAATTATTTTCTTGATTCTAATTAATATGCTATTCTACAATTCCCTTAAATTGCACAAGTATATCTTAGTTCAGCAATTAGATTGTTTGGTACTATATAATAATTGAAAGTCCCAACTTGATTTAATATAAATCTCTTTCTATCCCTGTGTAAATTGTTGAAGGCAGGAATGAGTGTGGTTCTCCTTCCTTCTTATGTTCTACTGGCACTTTGAGGCCATAGCTCATCTAGGGTAGGTTCAGGGAAGGGGAGGAAGAGAAAAAGACCAGAAACGTCTTACTGGAAATGAAATATTTGTGTTCTCTGCGCCTGGATGATGTTCCAAGTAAAGCTTTTCTCTTGTGCAAGGTTTGGTAGGCTCTTCAGATTCCTTCATGGCCCGTGTCTGGTGTATAGGGAACACTAAAACATTCTTTGTGTCCACAAACTCTGGGAGTGTGACCATTCCCAATGCATCACAGTTTCCAAGATCCAATACCAACTAGTCCATATACCCTGCCCTTTAGGATTCTGATGGAAGCAGAAGCCAATCCTATCATCTTCAACCACCCAACTTCATATCAAGTAGAGGAAACTCTTGGTCCCCCTAGAAAACAATTTCACTAAATTCCAGGCAAGTAGGTTGGTCCCTTTCCCACATACGCCGGGAGTAGATGATAGAATTCATAGTAAAGAGCAGATCTATTCAAGGATATCACAAATCTGCTTCATCCTATACTCTCTGACCACCCTTTGGTCAGTAGAGAGACAATAACAGAAACTTGTTTGTCCCATCATTCCTTATTTACTTATTTATTTTATTCTACTTTAAGTTCTGGGATACATGTGCAGAACATGCAGGTTTGTTACATAGGTATACGTGTGCCGTGGTGGTTTTCTGCTCCCATCAACCCGTCATCTAGGTTTTAAGCTCCTCAAGCACTAGGTATTTGTCCTAATGCTCTCCTCCCCTTGCCCCCCACCCCCCCCAACAGGCCCCTGTGTCCATGTGTTCTCATTGTTCAACTCCCACTTATGAGTGAGAAAATTCAGTGTTTGGTTTTCTGTTCCTGTGTTATTTTGCTGAGAATGATGGTTTCCAGCTTCATCAATGTCCCTGCAAAGGACATGAACTCATTCTTTTTCATGGCTGCATAGTATTCCATGGTGTATATGTGGCACATTTGCTTTATCCACTCTATCTTTGATGTGTTTTCCCCATCATTTCTTTATGAATTCTGCAAAAGAGGTGAACAACAGTCTCGCATGTCCATAAATAGATATCTGTGTTAATGGCCTCTTAGCTGATACTGAGGAAAGACCACAAACATTGAAAACAAAACAACAAACATATGAAAAAGTATAAATCATGGTCATTGTCTGTTACTGGTCACATAGACATAATTATAACACGGTTTAGGAAATGGAGGCAGAACTGGCCATTTCAGCTGTGTTTCCTAGTCCAGTTTTCTTACAAGGTAATGGAGAAGAGTGTGCATATAACATGTTTTTTGTTAGATTAAGCATCACTCTGTTAAGGAATAAACTTGAGTTACTTTCAATCACTTTTAAGGATGCTGCTCTTTTTCCCAAAGTAAAATTGATATTTGAGGCCTCAGTAAGTTCCATGTTATGTCCAATTATTTAGCATTACAGTGTCTGTCTGCTTCCAAGTGACTAAAGACTTTTACTCTTGGCCATGTGCCACATAACTGAAGATTATTCTTTCAGGTGAAAGTGGCAGGATTTCTATAAGACCCTTAAGAGGCTTTTCCTTTAGTTAGAAGGGAATTTAGGGACTGGAGTTCTGAGAACTGGCCATGTCCAGACAATAGTGCCCCCAGATGACAGTCATTTCTGCCACCTTTTCTCTGGACATATGCAGCATTATTTGGAAATCTTTTTTCATTAAGCATGATCTGTGCTCATTTCTGAAGATCATAAGAATGTCTATGTAGCAGTCTTTTTCTACTCTTAATTCTTTTCTAAAAGGTATAATTGAGAGTAAGAAACAAAAAACTAGAAGACGGTTTATTTAAGGTACATGGTTAGCAATCATAGTAAAGGAGCTGAGTTCTAAACATGTAAAACACTTACTGTAGTGAAGTTAGGAAGACAAGGAGTGTGAAGATGAGAAGTTAGAAGTGTGGAGAAGGAATCACTAGAGCCTCCTGATAAGAAAGATGGTAGAAAATGATTTTTTAAAGTACTTAAGTAGGTAAGATTTCAAATCCAAATGTCATGAATGAGTGAAGGAAATTTTCACAAAAAATAGAAGTCATGAGAAGAAGGTGGCTCTTGTTCACACTAAGTATAGCATGGGTCAAGCACAGAATGTAAGAGGGGAATTAGTTCTCACAATAAAATAGAAGAGAATATAAGTGGCTAAATGGCATCTAAAAAATAAACCATTCCAAGACTTAAGCTAATACAGATGGTCTCTGACTTATAATTTGGCTTATGATTGTTCAACTTTATGATGGGTTTATTGGTGTATTAAATGCATTTTCAGCTTAAGATATTTTCAAGTTATAATGGGTTTATTGGGACATAACCCTATTGTTAAGCTGGAGAGCATCTGTACACGAGCAGTGGTCCATGCTGCAAAATGTTTTTTAAAAACCAATAGTGAGGATAGAGAATAAACTATTTTAGGTTTCTGAGATTACTTAGGAACTTTGAACCTTTAAGGTAGAAAGAAAGGTGAGAAATATGCCAGAAGACTGTTACTGCTTTCACTGAAATTCTTTTTTGGGGTCCAGTTTCTTTTTACCAATTGAAAATACTACTGCTATGACTATGACACTAAAGCTTACTTATATTTATTAGATAATAGTTGTATTTCCATTTTACCTGAGAAAACTGGGTTTAAAGAAATCTAGTCTTTTGGTCAAGGGCTTACTTAGAAAGTGGCAACTGTGATTTTCTAAATCAAGTCTCTATCTCTGTAGCCAATAATATGTGGAGTCCAAGAACCAGTCCACTCAAAACACTAAAACCACTCATACCACAAACATATCCTTGGGTAGGGATGATGGTTGGTTTTTTCTTGTATACTATGTTTATATGTGACTATTTCAAAAGTTCTCAGGACACATATTTTTCCCTTGATTTTCTAATTTATAGTATAACTGGGACTAGGTTTCCCTCTTGTGGTCAACAGTGTTTAATTCTTCATAAGTGTTTTTGACATTGAGTATTCAGACACCTTATGAAAGATCAAGGATTTCTTAAGTCAGGATGCTTCAACTAATTTTTTTCTTATGTGCATATTCAAAGTGTGTTTGATTTAATTAGGTCACTTAAATGGTTTGTAATTTTATTTATAAAATTACTTATAAAATATTTAAAACTTATAAAAATATTTAAAGTCTTTTTATAAGTATTACCATGCCTTTTTTGAATAAGCACACAAAATATAGGATGTACTTCTTTTAAATAATTTGAAGGTTGAAATAATGTCTTAAAACGGACAAAATTAACTGTATTTCATTTTGAATCTTGTGGATAAATGCTTTATAACACCCTTTCTACTTCTCCATGATGTATTTAATCTTAGGCTAATTTTCTAGCTGTTTTCTGGAAACCTGATGGAGGAAGAATGTCAGCTGGATTTTTAGACAACATTGCTTATGGCACAAATGGCTTCTGGTTGGCATTTTGTATCTTTACTGGGAAGAATATTTCATGAACCGTAACAAATGACGGGGACCCATAGTTTGGGTATTTCCAAATGCAGTGACCCTTGTAACTGAGCATGCCCTTTACAGGGACTCTGGAAGCTGTGCCCATGGGTTTGTTATAAGAGGTACTAGCTCGTAGATGACATGAGGATTCTAAGCTAGGGTGGACACAACTTCCACAGGTGTAAATTCAGCTCCTTGTACCTGAGTTGTCACTTGGGGGATGGGGGCAGAGTATGAAACTAGCACCTGGAATAAATTATGGACTGTTTCAAGAACTTCTCCCACTGAAGAAAAAGACCTGATTCAGCACTTTGGCATACTTTGACTTCTGTCTAATATCCTTCTAAGTGAATCTGAGAGCCAGGTGTGGCCTATGGTAAAAACTTGAATATGAGTATTTAGTTAAACCTGAGAATACTCCCTGCCCCCGGGTATTGATACATCGGCAATTTTCATTTTATGTCTTTTTTTTATGTGTATATGTCATATGGTATATGTGTATACATAGGAGATACACACACACACACGCACATTTCCCATATTTTGGGAAAAAATTTGCATATTTTTTATGGCTTTAACATAATTAATAGTTTTAGTCTTGTTTTATTTTTGTTACCAAATTAACTCTAAGGATAGATTATATGTTTATTTAAGGATCTAAGGATAGATGTATAATATTTTAATATATGACAAAAACATATTTTAAAAAATATGGTGAGAGATTTCTGGTTCTAAGACAAGTTGAAGTAGGTACAATTCTTCCTATTCCTCCTGCTAAGTACAGCTACAGACAGACATAAAAAGCCCTTGAATGATGGAGAGGAGAAGCAGGTTGGCCTCAGACCATGGGATTTGGGAATGACAGAGTGGTGAGTTTCATAGGTCTTCTTTCTGCCTAATATATCCAGGAATGAGTGCTGGAGAAACTGGAAAACAGGAAACATCAGTAGTCACAGACAAAAATATCCTAAGGAAAGCATGTTTCTCTATCCAAGGGAACAAGAAAGAGCAGCCTACCAGGCAGATAACTGACAGTAACCGCACTACTCCAGTCAAATACAGAAAAATCAGGGGCTTCCATCCCGCCTCAGTCAGCAAACACTGAGTGAGGAGCTTTGTCTTATCCCATTGCCTGGCGATAATGAGACACTACCTAGACCCATCAGGCTTATGTCAGAGGAAGCCAACTGGGGACCTAGGACTTTTGCCCCTGCTTATCAGTAATCAGCCACCTCCACACTGTGGTGTTAGTGAAGCCCATGTGAAGAGCCTGGACTTCCACCTGCCCTGTTGCAAGGAAGCACTCCTCACCCACTTTGCCAAGGTGTTGTCAGAGGAGGCCAAGTAGAAAGCTGGGACTTTCACCACTGTCCAGGTGTAAGGAGGCACTTCTCCCTTCCTGGTGTCAGTAGAGGCCATGTGGGAGCGCTGATGAGACCCTCTCCCTCCCAGTCAGGATTCTGTAAGTGGAGGCCTAGTGGGGAGCCTGAGTTTCTATACCCAGCCTGCAGCCACAAGGCACCCCTGCCAGAGAGCCTTCAGTTCTAAGTTCACCAGGAATTGAACCTGTCAGCATCTTGATCTTGGACTTCCCAGCCTCCAGGACTGTGAGAAACACAGAGCGTCCTCCTATAGCATTGTTTTGTTCAACGTTTTGTTACAATGTTGGTGAGAAAATAAATAGGTTCCTGGCCAGGGCCACTGTCCATGAGGAGTTTGTGTGTTCTCCCCACGTCCGCATGGGTTTTCTTTGTGTATTTGAGTTTTATCCCACATCCCAAAGACATGCATGTTAGGTTAATTGGTGAGTCTAAATTGTCCCAGCAGAGTGACTTTGTGTGTGTGTGTGTGTGTGTGTGTGTGTATATGTGTGTGTGTGTCTGCATCCCACAATGGATGGGATGGCATCCTATACAAGGTTGGTTCCTCTCTTGTCCTTGAGCTGCCGGGATAGGCTCCAGTCATCCATGACCTTGAACTGGAATAAGCAGGTTGGAAAATGAATAAGCGAATGAATAGAAATGTTTCTAAAATAAACATTTGTAAAGTACATGATATTCATACAACTGTACAATAGTAAACAATGGGGTACAAAAGTACTCAGTGAGTTCAACGTATTTGTTCTTCTTTGCGTTTGAGCTGTGTGGTGGCAGGAGGTGCTCCTTACCATTTTCCTTTTACAAACATTTGTTCCTTAATGTAACCCACCACCACTGTGACCACCATCACTCACTAATTCACCAAAAACTGGATAATTAATTATCTTACTTGTTATTATAAACCTACCTTAAATGTATATATAGTTCCCATTTATTTTAATGTTTAATATTAGAAGTGTTCTGAGTCTTTATTTAGGAGTTTGGTGATGTGTTTGTGACCAGAAATAAGCCACAGGAACTTAAATCTTGTTCGCATCAATTAGCCCAGGGGTTCCCAACCCCTGGGCCACAGACCACTAATGGCCTGCTGTCAGATCAGCAGAGGCATTGGATTCTCACAGGAGTGCAAACTTTTGTGAACTGTATTGTGGACTGCGCATGCGAGGGATCTAGGTTGTGCCATCCCACTCCCTGCCACCGCTAGTCCCCAACCCCCATCCATGGCAAAATTTTCTTCCACAAAACCAGTCCCTGGTGCCAAAAATGTTGGGGATCGCTGAATTAGCCTATGGTCAAATTAGTTTTATTATATGTCATTTTGCTTAAAGTCACAGCTTCTAAGAACCTATTGATGATGTTAAGTGAGGACTTTGTCTGTTGTTTAATCTACTCCATCTGAGTGTCAATGGAGCCAAGTAGAGGACATGGAATTTCACATCATCTGGCAGTTTTGGGGTGAGAGTTACATATTTAAGTCAGTAGATTTTAAGTAAAGTACATTGCCCTCCATAACTGGGTTCCCCTCATTTAATCAGTTGAATGCCTGATTAGCATAAGAGGGAACTCTCCAACAGATTGTCTCAGACTCCATCTGCAATCCTGGTTCTTCCTGGTTCCACAGCAGACTACCTTTGGGCTCAAACTGCAACTCTGTCCCAGTCTCCTCCACTGCTGGCCTCTTCCATCAGAATTTGGACTCAGTAAGCTTCCACAATCATGTGAGCAAATTCTTTAAAAGAAGTATCTTTCTATATATACATATCCTGTTAGTACAACTGCTCTGGAGCACCTAATACAGATCCCAAGGGCATTATTCTGAGTACAAAATGCCAGTCTCGGAAGGTCACATATAGTATAATTCCATTTATATAACATTTTCTAAATGATAAAATTATACAGATGAAAATCAAATTAGTGGTTGGCACAGTGTAGGGATGGTGGGGGTGGGGGAATGGTGTGACTCTTAAGGAGGGCGAGTGGCATGAGGAAGATCTTCGTGGTGATGGAATATAGTTCTGTATTTTGATCACAGTGGTGGTTACATGAATCTACACATGTGATAAAGTAGAAAACTGCAAATACATTGTATCAGTGTCGATTTCCTTGTTTCGATATTGTGCTATAGTTATGTATGATGTAACCATTGGGGGAAACTGGGTGAAGGGTACAAGGGACCTCTCTGTACTATTTTCATCAACTCCTGTGAATGTATAATTATTTTGAAATTAACATTTAAAAATCATAAAGCATATTATCTAATTTTTTCTCTCAAACTTTAAACAAATCAATGTTTACCTTGTAAATCTTCTCTGCACTCCCAACAACATTGGATATTCTTTATTTGTAATTTTTTTTAAACTACAGACACACCTGACTTAAGATGGTTTGACTTAGGATTTTTTGACTTTTCAATGGTGTAAAAGCAATATCCATTCTGTATAAACCATACTTTAAATTTTGATCTTATTCCAGACCAGCGATACTAAGTAAGATACTCTTTCACAATGCCAGGCAGCCTCAGCCACATGATCATGAAGGTGAACAACTTATACTCTACACTTTCAACTCACAATATTTTCAATTTACAATGGATTTATTGGGAGTTAACCCCATCATAAGTTGAAGAGCATCTGTATTACATTTAAAAACCCAGGTTATTTTAAAATAGTTGCTTATATTTACATACTTACAAGATTATTCAGTCTAGCCCAGATTTACAAGGGGGAAAAAACACACTCAAGGTATTTTAAGCCCAGAGAGATGTAATACAGTGAAGTGCATTGCAAAAGTTTTGTAAGGACAGAAAAAGCAAAATTGTGCTTCCAAAGGTCAGGAACTGCAGGAAGCTACTATTGGCCCTGCAGCACTAAACAAACCCACACTCCTGGCAGCTGCTGCTACTTGCTGTCAGAAGCAGAATGACAGCAATTTTCCACTGCCTTCTAATCGCAAGTGAGTGCCTTCCTAAGAAAGGGACTCTGGAAGAAGTGGTGTCCAGGCTTCAACCCCAAGTGATATGGAAAAAAGCACAAAACAGGGGGAAATTGATTTAGTACCAACAGACAATATCTCCAACTTAAAATATCTTGAATATTTATTCCTGAATATATTACCCCTTTCTAATATCTCTCTTTGCATTCTCCTTATTTGTACTTACATATATATTTGATGAATTTTTAGCATTTTTAGTAATTTACTAAATCTATACTTAATAGAAATATTAAACCTAATATAATGTATAGCATTATCCGATATAGAAGATCTTAAATGTCATTAATTAAATGTTAGCCTCTTGGATTTTAATTTATATAAAGCTTAATAATGTGAAAATACATGAAGATCAACCAAATGAAAAGAGCAAAAATTATTCACAAATTGCTATAACAAAGGAGTCAGCCACCATCTTTTGCATTTTGGCAGAGACTCAAAGACAGGCAAAGAAGTAGGAAACTTTATAGTGGTTAAAAGGGACCTGATTGGAGGCTGTTGGCATGGGGAATGCTTAAGGGGTAACTGGAAGTGGAGTATCCTATGTAATTGGGTAGGATGCATATTTAGCTTTCCCTGGTTGGTCCTAAGTTGGAAGCAGGCACAAATATTGGGGGAACTGTCAGTTATTAATCAAGTCCTGGCCATTTTAAAACAATTGTTATAAAAGTTATTATTTAGCCTCCTGGATTGTTACTAGAGACAGCAATCTGACTTCCTGCAAGTCGGACTTAAGCAGACTACCTTGCTGTATTGTTTATTGAAGATAAGGGAATTGGTTCCCCAGGCAGGCTGCTGTAGGCTGTGGGTCAAAGGTCTATTTTTTTTTTTTTTTTTCTTAGATGGAGTCTTGCTCTGTCGCCAGGCTGGAGTGCAGTGGCACGATCTCAGCTCACTGCAACCTCCACCTCCTGGGCTCAAGTGATTTTCCTGCCTCAGCCTCCCGAGTAGCTGGGACTACAGCTGCGCGCCACCATGCCCAGCTAAATTTGTATTTTTAGTAGAGACAGGGGTTTCACCATGTTGGCCAGGATGGTCTTGATCTCTTGACCTCATGATCCATCCGCTTGGCCTCCCAAAGTGCTGGGATTACAGGCGTGAGCCACCATGCCCAGCCAGGCCTATTTTTATATATGGTCTGGCCATTGTCTGTTTCTATATCCAGTTTTTCAGAAAGCACAATTTAAAATCTTATTCTTTTTTCCACCACAGTATAAGATGCATTAGGGTCACAGTAGGACAAATTGTCCCACTGGCAACAACTACAAAAATAGGATAAAATTTTAAAGGTATATTTTTAAAAAGCATTGTTTAGCTAAGAAAGTAAATAGGACTAGATGAATAAAAATTCCAAAGAAGAACCATGCAAATGTAAGCTGACGTTTGGACATCACTGTTTCTCTTGGTAGCATTTGCTGTTTGCAAGTGTACGCTGCGTTTTAGTGCCATTTTTCTGCTACCGTTTTCTGCTGTAGAAAAGTTTTCTGCTACAATTTTCCTACAGTTTTCTGCTGTAAGAAAGAAATCAGCAGCAATTATGGGGCCAGTGTGATGTAACTAGAAAACTGAGGCATCTCAAACACTCTGGTTTCTTCAAAACACGTTGGTTAACTTCTGATGCTACGGTAGAAGGTAAAACAAAAAACTAAAGTGTCAACTTCTGAAAGGCAGTGCAAAATCTTTCACTGTCCAGTGGTGTTGAGGAAACAAAGACCTACCATTGATAAGGGCCCTAAAACAAAACAGACGTAAGTTTCAGAAGAACTGGTGAATTGATGCCAAGTAGCAACAACCACTTATCACCTGAGGACACTTACTGATCTGAGTGCTTGTTTGGAGCTAATAATCCAGGTTTGGCCTCTGACAATAGGCTCCTCCAGTGGACTAAGAAAATAGCAAGTGTTTTGTCATTTGACGTGGTGCTGCAATGACAAGATTTGAGAGTTGATGACTTCAAGCACTTTGTAGGTGTCTTTTTCAAAACACTTGTTAAATGTTGAAGATGTATGGAGTAGAAGACTAATGAGCTAAGCTGAAAATTTCTTTAAGTTCAGCCTAAATCTCCTTCAGCTCTTCAGGATTGAGAAGATGAAAGCTATCGGGTTTTTCATTGAAAGTCATGGAGGACTATGCTCTAGAAATGGGGCAAAACTGAAGTCATGCATCACTTAGCTAAAGGGACAAGCTCTGAGAAATGTGTCATTAGGTGATTTCATCTTTGTGTGAACATCACAGAGTGTCCTTACGCAAACTAGATGTTATAGCCTACTATACATTTAGGCTATATGGTACACCCTATTACCCCTAGGCGACAAACCTGTACAGCATGTGACTGTATTGAATACTATTGGTAATTGTAACACAATGCTAACTGTTTATGTATCTAAACATACAAAAGGTGTGGTAAAAATACCATATGAAAGATTTTTAAATGGTAGATCTTTCTAGGACACTTACCATGAATGGAGCTTGCAGAACTGGAAGTTGCCCTGATGAGTCAGTGAGTGAGTGGTGAGTGAATGCAAGGGCCTAAGGCATTACTATACATTACTGTAGACTTTATAAATACTGTAACTAAGACAACATTAAATTTATGAAAAATGTTTTTCTACAATAATTAACCTTAGCTTACTCTAACTTTTTAAACTTTATATACTTAATTTTTTAACTTTTTGACTGTTTTGTAATAGCACAGCTTAAAACACAAACACTATACAAAAATATTTTCTTTATATCCTTATACTATGAGCTTTTTTCTACTTAATTTTTTTTTTTCACTTTTTAAACTTAAAAAAAAATCTAAGAAACACACACATTAGCCTAGGCCTACTCAGAGTCAGGATCATCAATATCACTGTTTCCCACTTCCACATCTTGTCCTACCAAAATGTCTTCAGGGGCCATAGCACACATGGAGAGGCCATCTCCTATGATAACTACACTTTCTTCTGGAATTCCTCCTGAAGGACCTGCTTGAGGCTCTTCTTGAGGAGGTGTCACTCTTCAGAAACAGGTCCATGATGGTTTGCTTGGTTTCCTTTTTTCATCATAGATTTGCTTATAAGCAGATGATTCACCGTGAACATTCCTCTTTATTAATGAAAACCTTGTTGTGCTGGGGTTCATGTTTTCAAATTTTTAAGGAGCTTGTTGAGGTCTGCAAAAGCTCCTGCTAAACCCTGCACAGGGAATTTTATTTGGGGTTCTTCTTCTTCTTCTCCTTCAGTTTCCTTTTTTTCTGACCACTACTTCAACTATGCATTCCTGTCTCAGTTCCAACAACTCCTCATTAGTCAATTCCAAGGAACTACCTCTAGGAGCTCCTAATGCCATCCTCATCCGTACTCAGTTTAAAGTTGTTTGCCATCTCAACCAAAGCCTTGTAGATTTTTGCAATCTCCTCATCCTTGGCAAACCCTTTGAACTCACAGACAAACCTCCTGAGTGTCTTCTTCCAGATGCCATTCACACACTCCTCGGTGACATCATCCCCATCCCAAGCAAGGTTCTTGATGTAGCCATAGCTGTTGTTATCCTTCCAGAATTGCATCACTGTCTTCTCAGTGTCTTCCTGAGTTACCATAATAACATGGGCAAAGGCCCTCTTCAGATAGTAAACCTTAAAAGCTGCTATAATTCCTTGATCCATTGGTTGGATTAAAGAGGGAGAAGCACCACTTCGATATTGGGATAAAGATCATTAATAACAGGAGGATGTGCAGGAGAACAAATAACCATAAACAAAATCTTGAAAGTTATGGTATTTTTCAGACAATGCCTCTCTATTTCTCTGGCATAGCAATTTAGGATGTAATCATGGAAGAGGAGATGGGTCATCCATGATGTTTTATTACACCTGTAGTGTACTGGCAGGATATACTTTATATATATATATATATATATATATTTTTTTTTATGGAATCTAGCTCTGTCTTCCAGACTGGAATGCAGTGGCATGATCTCGGCTCACTGCAAGCTCCACCTCCCAGATTCACACCATTCTCCTGCCTCAGCCTCCTGAGTAGCTGGGACTACAGGTGCCCACCACCACACCCGGCTAACTTTTTGTATTTTTAGTAGAGACAGGGTTTCACTGTGTTAGCCAAGATGGTCTTGATCTCCTGACCTCGTGATCTGCCCACCTCGGCCTCCCAAAGTGCTGGGATTACAGGCGTGAGCCACCGTATCTGGCCTCTTTTTATATTCTTAAAGGAAGGTCCTGGGGTTTTCACCTTGCTGGATCACAAAGGGCTTTAATTTGTAGCCTGCAACATTGCCCTCAAGCAAGACCGTTATCTGTACTTAAAAGCCTTGAAAGCTAGCATTGACTTGGCCTCCTTATGGGTTAAATTCCTTTCAGGCAGTGAGAACAAAGACACAACATACCAGAATTTCTGGGACACATTTAAAGCAGTGTGTAGAGGGAAATTTATAGCACTAAATGCCCACAAGAGAAAGCAGGAAAGATCTAAAATCAACATCCTAACATCACAATTAAAAGAACTAGAGAAGGGCAAACAAATTCAAAAGCTAGCAGAAGGCAAGAAATAACTAAGATCAGAGCATAACTGAAGGAGATAGAGACATGAAAAACCCTTCAAAAAATCAATGAATCCAGGAGCTGGGTTTTTTTTTTTTTTTTTTTTTTTTGTAAAAAAAGATCAATAGATAGACCGCTAACCAGACTAATAAAGAAGAAATGAGAGAAGAATCAAATAGATGCAATAAAAATGATAAAGGGGATATCACCACTGATCCCACAGAAATACAAACTACCATCAGAGAATACTATAAACACCTCTGATAGAACAGACTTTAAACCAGCAAAAATCAAAAGAGACAAAAGAGGGCATTACACAATGGTAAAGGGATTAATTCAACAAAAAGAGCTAACTATCCTAAATATATATGCACCCAATACAGGAGCACCCAGATTCATAAAGCAAGTTCTTAGAGATCTACAAAGAGACTTAGACTCCCACATAATAATAGTGGGAGACTTCAACACTCCACTGTCAATATTAGACAGATCAACAAGACAGAAAATTAACAAAGATATTCAGGACTTGAACTTAGCTCTGGACCAAGCAGACCTAATAGACATCTACAGAACTCTCCACCCCAAATCAACAGAATATACATACTTCTCAGCACCACATCGCACTTGTTCTAAAATTGACCACATAATTGGAAGTAAAACACTCCTCAGCAAATGCAAAAGAATGGAAATCATAACAGTTTCTCAGACCACAGTGCAATCAAATTAGAACTCAGGATTATGAAAGTCACTCAAAACCACACAAATACATGCAAACTGAACAACCTGCTCCTGAATGACTACTGGGTAAATAACAAAACGAAGACAGGAATAAAGACATTCTTTAAATTTCCACTCTTAGCCTTACTTTTTGTGTGTCTGCATCCTTGATCTCTATGGCCACGAGACAACAAACCTCAGGTCACCCCAGACAAACGAGGCTGCTTCAATCCCACTTATATGAGGTGTCTAGGTAGCCAATCTCATAGAAACAGAGAATACGTTGGTGGTTGCCAGAGACTGGGGGCAAGGTAAATGGGGGAGTTACTGTTCAACCAATATAACATTTTAGTTATGCAAGATGAATAAGTTCTAGAGATCTACTATACAACATTGTGCCTATAGTTAACAATACTGTGTTGTAGTTAAAAACTTGTAAAGAGGGTATATTTCATGTAAGGTGTTCTTATCACAACACAATGAAATAAGTTGGAAAATGAAGGTGGTCCAGAATTTATCATTGTTACCAGCAAGAGGGTTATTTCAATACAAACTACTCCGTCAATACCAGAGGCCATGACTCTCCTTCCAGAGCTTTTAATTAAGACCCAGGTAGGTCTCTGTTCCTACAAATGTCAGTGAGAGATTCAGCCCTGAACTTCAGTACTTGCTGGCCCAGCTCCCTGGCCTCCTTCTCAGGTGGCTTCAGGAGCAGGCACATGTGAAAACGGGGAGACCCACCTTGTGCTCGACAGACCCAGGCTGAAGGCAGTTCTCCGTGTCCTGAACACAAGCAACATGGAGGAGTCCTCATTCTGCCTTTGGAGTTTGGGGCCTGGCTCATAGCTCAGTGCTGCACCACAGCTCAAGAAATATCTTGTGGGGAAATCACGCCATGAATTTGAGAATTTGAGAACCTCAAATATCTAATTTCTTAGTCTGTCCCTGTGTCCCTTGCTTGGTTTCCCTTTCTCCAGCAGATTCCCTCCTGAGCCCATGACACCTCTTCTGTATGAACAATGAATTGGCAAATGCCCCATGGGTGGCAGGGGAAGAGCTGTGATTGTCAGCTCACCTCAAAAGGATCACCTATTCTCTGCAATTGTATTTCATCTAGTGCATGTTGCTTCCACAGCTCTCCTTTTCCTTTAAAGTACGAATTTTGTGTTTTAAATTTTTAACTTTTCTAGCTGGTGTACTGGGAGTGTTGAGTTAATCTAGCAGTATCCCACAGAGAAGTCAAAGTCGTATATTTATGTTCTGTTATGTTTTTCTTGGATTTTATTATTTTTTGTTTTCTTATATATTTTTTAATTGATGCCATGCAGAAGAAAAATATGAGTGATAATTTGAGGCTCCAGGAAATATTATATTTCTCTAGAGGTTATTTAGTTTTGCTTGTGTCAGGCAATGAGGCTATGAGGCTAAGGTCATTAATATCTCAAATCACCCAAATCTAGTCTAGGATTAGTTAGTTAGAACTCAGGATTCAGTTCCTATGAAGGATGATCTGTTTCTATTTCACCTTATTCCACATATTAGACTTCCAAGGTTTCTATGGAAAGCGTATTTTTATCTTATGGAGTCCTTCCTTTATTTGTGAGGCATGAAATCCAAATTTGTCCCTCTAGCCCTTTGAACATTTTGTGAGGTTTTTGTGCTTAATGGAAGTTGAGCCAAATGAAAAGGAACACAGGTATCAAACACCACATGGAAGCTGAAGCAGCTAGCTGTATTGAACATGTTTCCCCCTCACATAATAAATAGCATATATTCTTATCAAGCTGGAGCTGGCATCGTAGGAAGCACTTTTTCTCTTTGCATTTACATCTTCTGATCTTTGGGAATGAAAATCGTCTGTATACGTGATTCTTTCCTACTTGGTTGTGGCCATTATCTTGTTCCCTTACTCTAAGGAATTATCTAGATGTTGGATGATTTGGGGCTGGATAATGATGGATGTGAAGTTGTATTTTACTTGCTCGTGGTTAGCTGGAACGTTTCCCTCCCCACCATCTACCTAAGTAGTTTCCAAGCTGCCTATATCAGATCAATCAGGTCCAGGTGAGCAGGAATAGAATCCAGAGCCGCCACATACACTGGGATATGAGGATGTCTGTTGAGTTGTGTTTTGTATAAATTGTGAAAGGAAACTAAAAATTTGGCACCCCAATTCACCATGTCAAAAGGAAAGAATTAAGGTGAAAGCTGAGTCACGCAAGAAATTGCCTTTCCTTTGGTTTCCAAGCAGATAGCTACAGATAAAAGGTTAAAAATATCCCCACCGGTAGCTACTCTATGTTCACCTAATCATATGCAAAGCGATGATTTACTGAGAGCAAGATGAATACATAACTGACTCTTCCCCTACCTGCCCCTTTTTCCTTGCAACATGTGGATTGCCATACCTTCTCTCCCTGTCAGCCCACTTTTCCCCTTTAAATATTGAAATCATCTTTGGAGAAAGACACAGACCAGATTGCCTGTGTCATTTGATGATTTTTTCTTTCCAGCATGTCCCTAACCTTGGGAAAATAAACTTCTAAATTGCTTAAGACCTGTCTCAGACACTTTTTGGTTTACAACCTTGACATATATCAGAGTTTCAACCTATGTGATAGTCCAAGGAAGAGTGAAAATTACCAAGGAAAGTACACTATTGGAGCTATTCAATTCTCCCTCCAGTCTGCTTTTCACCTTTAAATATTGAAGGCTTCTAAATCATCTTTGGAGAAAGCCACAGACTTGTCTTCTGGGCATTGTCTTAAACCCTAGCAAAATAAACTTCTAAATTGATTGAGATCTGTCTCAGATATTTTTGGTTTGGAGTATTGTAACTATGGTCTTTGTACTTGCCGCACTGCCTCCTCTCCGTTTGATTTACCAATGCCCAATGAAGCCATGTTTTCAGCATGCAAAACCCAGGAAAGAAATTCTACAAAACTTGCCAAGCAAGAACTCAATGTTGCACAAAACTCATAATGATAGTGCACCAGCTCATCGAGAGGGGAGCCAATTCACAAACAAGCATGAGAAAATCTAGATGAAGGCCATTTTACCAGCCCTAAAAAAGCTATTTCTGACCGGGCGTGGTGGCTCACGCCTGTAATCCCAGCACTTTGGGAGGCCAAGGCGGGAGGATCACGCGGTCAGGAGATCGAGACCACCCTGGCTAACATGGTGAAACCTCGTCTCTACTAAAAATACAAAAAATTAGCCGGGCGTGGTGGCGGGCACCTGTAGTCCCAGCTACTGGGAAGGCTGAGGCAGGAGAATGGTGTGAACCCGGAAGGCAGAGCTTGCAGTGAGCCGAGATCACGCCACTGCACTCCAGCCTGGGCAACAGAGCAAGACTCCGTCTCAAAAAAAAAAGCTATTTCCATTTATGAATTTAACTATAAATAACTATATAGTATAAATAACTATAATTGATATGAAAATATATAAAGTTATTCAGTTGTTAATGGATACTTAAGTTGTTTTGATGTTTTGCTATTAGGAATGAAGTTGTAATGAACTTGCAATAGTTCTTGATGTATGTTCTAGAGTAGCATTGTAGTAGTAATGTAGTATGATAATGTATATATATTTTCAACCTTACTATGTTATGCTGACTTGTTTTCCAAAATGATCCTAACAATTTCTATTTCCTTCAGAAGTCTGTTGGTAGAAACATTGACCCACATCCTTGCTAGGTTTTGATATTTTTATTGTTTTTTCAGTGTGGCGTTTATTTACATTTCTCTGACTTATAATGAAGAGTTTGAAATTTTTTCACATATTCACATGTCATTTATACATGTTACTATAAAATGTTTCTTCTTGCCTTTACCATTTTTTTTCTCAGAAAAATATAGTCCTTTACTAATTGATTTGTAGGAGGCCTTTCTATGTTCTGGGTACTAATCCTTTTCATGGTTTAATATGTTGTAAGTATCTTTATCCAGTTTACCAAAAAAATTTCCTCTCTCTAGTGAGTGATTCCAATCAGCATATAAACATGCCACGGCATTTCCTTTTCCCTAAATCCAACTCTGCTGATGAATTTTTACTTCTAATCTGAAGGAAACTCTTAAAAATATTGGGCTGCACCTGTTATTTCCATTCCTCCCCATTCTTCTTCCACTCTTCACAGATCAGGCTACAGTCCACATCTTTAACTGAACTCCTTGTCACTGACATGTGTTAGCTCCATGTTGCCAAATCCAATGGTCATCTCTAGGATGTCATTTTATTCATCATATCAGAAGCATTTTATGTAGTTAACCACTACTGCATCATTGATGTATTTTCTTGACTTGTTACTAAACCTCACTGTCTTGAGATTCTCATCACATGAGAATAACAGCCAGATCTCAGCCTGCCTTGCCAAGTCTCCCATCTTCCCAACCTCTAAATGACTGAGGGCCCAGGACTCATCTCTTGCATTTGTTTCCTATGCATCTTCATTCCAGAATCTCCCATGGATTCCCACAACTAAGCACAATTCTTTGTTGAAGTTTCTCTAACTTACATTACTAGCCTTGACATGTTGCCCATAGCTTTGAAGCATGACTTGAAACCAAGCTTTGCATATTTCTTCTGTCCTTTTTCAAATAAGTTTTGGCTATTGTAGATCCTTTGTATTTTCATATAAATTTTAGAATTGTCTATTGCCACAAAGAAACCCAGTGGGAATATTGATCAAGATCGTGTTGAGAACTGTTATTTCAAAAATATCAATTCTTCCCAAATCAAAATATATTATATCTCTTTACACATTTAGAATTTTATCAGTTTCTCTCATCAGTATTTTATAGTTTCACATCACACATCTTTCGGTTCAGTTTATGTCTAAGTATTTTATGTTTTTATTGCTGTCATAATGAAGTGATTTTTAAATTTTATATATGATATTCTGCTGTGGTGTATAGAATTACAATTTGTTTTTGTATTTTACCATTGTTAAATTCACACATTCTAGGCATTTTCAATAGCTCTCTTAGGGTATTATATATAAGCAATCAAGCTTTCCAGGCTGTAATGTTTACTGTTTGCCAAAAGGAGTCTGAAATTATGTGAAATCTGCCAGGCTTAAACTAATTTTTAAAATAATAAAAGTTGAAAGAAAAATCCAGGTCAATTTAAAAAATAAAGAATATTTTAAAAATAGTTTCCCATGCCCAATTTTATGTTAAAATACAACCAGACATAGTTAAATGTTTTATATATGGTCATGAAACTAAATTGTCCCCAATTATTTTCATATTCCAGTTCATATCAATTTCAATGGCTAGGCTATCCTTTGGGGTATAGTTTTCCTTTCATCCTGCTAACCCATTAATTATCCTTTTCTACGTGTCCACAAATGTCAGAGGTGTTTGAGCCGGAGCAACTCCATCTTGAATAGGGGCTGGGTACAATGAGGCTGAGAGCTACTGGGCTGCATTCCCAGGAGGTTAAGGCACTTTCAGTCACAGGATGAGATAGGAGGTCTGCACAGGATACAGGTCATGAAGACCTTGCTGATAAAACAGGTTGCAGTTAAGAAACGGGCCAAAACCCACCAAAACCAACATGGCCACAAGAGTGACCTCTGGTCATCCTCACTGCTCATTATATGCTAATTATAAAGTATTAGCATGCTAAAAGACACTCCCACCAGCGCCATGACAGTTTACAGATGCCATGGCAACATCCAAAATTACCCTATATGGTCTAAAAAGGAGAGAAGCCCTTAGTCCAGGAATTGCCCACCACCTTCCCGGAAAACTCATGAGTAATCCACCCCTTATTTAGCTTGTAATCAAGAAATGCTAAACCTACATGAAGTATGAACGATTCCTTACATTCCATTCCATGCACCACATCCTCCCTGAAGATTGTCTTGATTCCTTCATAGTTATTGAATTATTATAATATTAGTGCCTATGTTCTCTACTCTCAAAAGTGCAAATGACATTAATAACTGAACTTATAATATTTTCTGCTTTGCTACCTTAAGAATGAGTGCCTGGTATTGCGACGTGATTACAACGAATTTAAGACAATGAAGCAGTCCTCTCTCCCTATCTCCCTCATATCCTCTCTGGCTCTCTCTCTCTCTCTGTCCTTCTCTCCTCCTCTCTTTCCCCCGCATTCTCCCAGGGTGGTTCAGTGGCAGAATTCTGCTGGGACCTTTAAGAGAGAGAAGCATATTCAGCAGCAGCAGCAGTTTTCCTATTCCTGCCCCCATCCGCGGCTTTGAACTGAGTTTACCACGAAATACAAAAACACAATTTTAGAAAGAAAGATATTGGCAGTTAAGATTTGGGAAGTTTCTAAATGGGACTCTCAGTCCTTCCCGCCACTCTGAAATCGCGGTGCAGTAGTAAAATCTTGGAGGCGGTTCTTGAACAAACCTGTCATCTACTGGCCATGTGTGGAACTGCAACAGCCCGGTGGGGAATGCACTTCGCAGAGATGGAGATCCTCTCAGAGGCCCCAAGAGGACCAAGTAAAAGAACCCAGGATGAATGGCAGGCTGGATGGGTGCAAATGCAGGAGGCTTAGTAGATCGGTATGATTTTCTTTGCCTTCTTTCTCCCAATATTTGGAAGGGTCCCCTATTTCCAGTGTGAGACATGCCCGGATATCTCTGTGAGTGCAGCTTCTTTGGGGTCCTGGGAGGAGTGTGATGGTATTAACACATTCTGTACACCCCCTCCCCGCAATTCCCCAAGGGGGCATCTGCATTAGTTTTGGAGTCAACTGAGGTGGGCTTCACCGAAGCTTACATCTCTTCCTGGGAACTTTAGTCTTATAGGCTCCCACCTGCAGTAGAATCAATTTTAGGTAATTTCATCATTTTCAAAAAATAATAGATGATCATTGTGATTGTCTTAAACTTCTGTAACTCTTTCATAAAAGTAAATTTAAAAGTAAAAATTTATTTTATTTTATTTTATTTTATTTATTTTTTGAGACAGAGTCTCACTCTGTTGCCCAGGCTGGAGTGCAATGGCGCAATTTCAGCTCACTGCAACCTCCGCCTCCCAGGTTCAAGTGATTCTCCTACCTTAGCCTCTGGAGTAGCTGGGATTACAGGCGTGCACCACCACGCCCAGCTAATTTTTGTATTTTTAGTAAAAACGGGGTTTCACCATGTTGCCCAGGCTGGTCTCAAACTCCTGACCTCAGGTGATTCACATGCCTCGGCCTCCCAAAGTGCTGAAATTACAGGTGTGAGCCACCACACCCAACCTAAATTTTTTAAAATTAAAAGTTTTAGAGGAACTGGTTTGTCAGACACTTTTTGTAAAGTATATGACAGCCATGTATGTAAAGAGCTCAACTTAGACTGTAGGTCAGCCAGAACTAAGAATACCTCAGTCCTCCATCCCTAAATGTTTGGGCATTTTCCTATTCAGAAGTTCTACTGCCTGCCCTTCCTCCTTTCTTCTCTTTTCTTTCTTTTCTTCTTTTTTCTTTTCTTTTCTTTCCCTCCCTCCTTCCTCCCCCCTCCCTCCCTTCCTCCCTTTCTTCCTTTCTTCTTTCCTTCTTTTTGCCAATCAAGAAAAATGGCCAGAGGTGCAGATTGAACCGTGGCCACGCTGTGAGGAAAGGCCTCCGTCCTGTGAGCACCACCCTCCCCTCACTGGCCTCGGGAATCCCAGGCCCCCCACTCACATCTGGGGGAGGAGTCGCAGGGCTTCTGCAGGTGCTCTCTCTCCTCCAGTCAGTCAGCAAACCGAGGGGACTGTGGAGGACAAGCCACTGTGCCTCCAGGAGATGAGAGCTGCTGATTTTTCTTTCCTTTCCCTGAGGAAACGATACCTGTATAAGTCTCACTGCTGGGAGACTCCACAAAGTAATCATCTTTCTGGTGAGTTGATCTAAGAGCTCTCAAAACATCTTTCAACCAGGTCCCCAAGAAACAGCTGATGGCGTCGCCTGAACTTCTCCATATTCATAGCAACACTTTCCTGACATTTCTTGGATTGACCTTGATTTCTTATCTTCATTTCTAATCTCCTCTATTTTTCTATCCACCTTCTTTCCAAGACCTTCCATTCCCAGTAATGACACCTAATAGCTATATAGGGATTTTGTATCATGATTATATTCTTACTTTATCCTTACAACGATACTTTAATGTGAGCCACCCACATACTATCCCTGTGTAAAAACTAAGAAAATTGAGACCCCTGGAAAGAACAGACTTACCCAAAGTAAAGCTTGCCCAAATGTATAGCAAAGCTAGAATGAAAATCTCAGTCAGCCTAAACTCAGGGCTTCTTTTGTCGTCTAGTGGCTGAGGGAGTTATGAATGTGGGTCACAGGTGACCGCCGCATTTGAAGAAGAGTCTGTAAGTGAATCGACTTGCGGAACAACCTTGAAGCCGACAGTGAGCCCGTCTCTGCTGCCCTCTGGTGGCCAGGCAGATCCATGACTCCCCTCTGCTGTTCCTCCTGCCCTCGCCGGATGCTTGTTTTTCCCTCTCCTCAGTTCTAGCAGCTTATGCCTTGTTTTCCCGCTTCTCCTGGAGGTGGACTCTAGTCAGAATGGCAGAGATTGTGACTCCTTTTTTTCTCTCCCACACACCAACATCTTCCTGCACAAAATGGCCTCCCATAATATGTAGCATAATTTAGGACACAGTTCTCAGCACAGGCAGACCTCTGAGAAAGTGTATGCAGATGATTTGTGAGAACACACACACGCGAGTGTAAACGGAGCTTCTTTACGCGGTGAGTTGGCGCTGATGTGACTGACCATAAAAAATTCAAATAATTCCAGCATTTGGTACCATAGAGATGATACTACAGAATGCATGCAATGAGCGGCATCTTTTCACACATTCAGGTGTATAAAGTAAATTTCTATATTTTCCTATTACGGATTTTAATTTGTATGCCAAGCATTATTATGTCTTCTGACAGAGGAGTTCATCTGGTAATTTCCAGATAAATTCAGTGGCTTTCACACAATTAATTTAATAGCAGCCTCTTCTTCACCCGCCGTGTGATTTCTAAGTTCTGAGGTGGGAGGTGGTGCAGGGCTGGTGTAGAAGTCTCTCCTCACATTTGCATCATCAGCTCCCACAATATGTCACTATCCCATCGTGTTTCCTGGTCGTCACTGTCCTTCCCACAGTGGTGACGATCACTGTTATGTCCTTGATGCCACTCTCCTCTTGCTGGAACATTCCATCCCAGCATTTTAGGCAGCAAACTTTCATCCCACTGTTGGAGCCTTCCAGAGTCTGCCACTTCTTGCCTTGGAGAACTTTTCCTTTGCTGCCACTCTGAGAGGGACATCTGTGGGCATCGCTACCATTCTGGGAACCGGAGGTGAAGTGGGGTTCATTCCCCTCTACTCCAATTGAGAGAGAACCAGGGTAAAGAGACCCTCCTATCCTCGTCCATGTTTAATTGTTTCTCTTCTCTCCAAATCTCTCATCCTCTACAGTGAGGGGAGGGTCTTTGTCTAGACTGAAGGATGGAGGGGGAAACCCTTACATTAAGAATCGTAACCGTAAGTCAGGGGACCCAATTATGGGCTGCTCATAACGGGAGGGAAAGAAACTTAAGGAAAAAATCGGCTCAAACCTTGTAACATCATAATGCTGCATATGCTTTTATTATTACATTGACATGAAAATCTGCAATTAAATTAAAAATTGTTCTGGAGAACTCTTGAAATCCTGAGACTATATCTGAGACCCCCTCTAGCTCAAGGAACACAGACTTAAGGGGAACGTAAAGGAAAATCTGGCAGAAACAAAAACACACACAAAATATGCCTATCATTATACTCTTCATGCCCAAATATTATGCTGAGAAGGTTATTACATTTCTTTGGTAAACATCTGAGAGTAATTAAACCTTTTATTACTCAGCAAAGGGAGATAAAGTACCTGAGTAAAAAGAGCAATAAAGTAGCCCACAAGGGACCTTGGCCCAGAGCTCTGATCCTGGAGAGGGCAGTTCCTTTCTCTGGGTCTCTGTTTTCTCATCAGTGGAATGAGGGATGGCACGTTTGATATTCAGTTTTGCTTCCAACTCCAGCCCGATGAGTGCCATGCTCTGGTGGAGACTTGGCACTAGTTGGGAATCTTTGATGTGTGGCAAGGTGGAGGGAAGGGTGGATGGCACCCGCTGATGTGTGGGACGGTGGGGTCTGTGTGAGGACCTAACTGGGGGGTTGCAGATGAGGCCTCCATGAAGGCCTTGGCTTTCTGGGGAAGGTGAGAATTGCCAGTGTCATGATTTTGTGTGCACGTCTGCAGAATTCACAACTGAACCCAGCCAAAGTCCACTTGTCCCCGGAGTTTCACTGTTGAAAGGATTATAGCTGTTAGGAGGTGAATGTGCTATTCTGATTTTCGGAATGCAATCTCATTTTCACAGGGCCTCCGGGATTTGGCTCTGCCTTCAACTGGGGTGAGACGGCTTAAATCCTCCTTCACCCAAAGTCCTGGAGGAGGCCTCCACACTCTCTGGCTCTCCCACACTCTCTGGCTCTCTGGTGTGTCTTTGATCAGCACACCCGAGGGCTCTGACCTGTTTCTGACCACCTGCTATGTGGATGAAGATACATCTGGGGCCAAGTGAGAAGACCCAGTAGCACCAGGTTTCGCCCCAAAGGAGAGAGGGAGACACGTGAGTGGTTTGGATTCCCTGGTGAAGGATGGCCACGGGAAGCTGGGGACATTGTCTCAGATTACAGAGTAGGACATACGGACGGAATCAATGTCCTTTAGGGAAATGCTGCCACCTGTTACACTGCCTCCCACTTATATTTATATCCCACTGTGCAGTCTTCAAAGTGCGATCGTAGCCCATTTGACCCTCACAGTGTTCTCGTGAAGCAGGCTGAGTGAGGAAGAAGCACGAAATTATAAACAAGAAAACCAGGATCACATTTTCATTTGTCATGGATGATGTGGGGCATGTGTCCCTGAGCCTTAACGTCTTCTTCTGTCACATGGTCATGACACAGCTTGGAAAACGTTAGGATGATTGTCTCCACCACACAGCAGAGAAAATACAGGCTCAAGAAAGTAAAGAAAGATGTCCAAGGTCACACACACACACACACACAAAAACCCAATTCACTTTGTCTCCTAGAAATCTTATTTTAGCTTTCTCTATAAAAATGTATTAACATATGATAAACTATAGCTGTTTTTAATGTCTACATAGATACATAAGCTTTCGACTTCGTGAACTAAGTTAATTTATTCTTACCAGTCAGTTACTATGGCTGCTTGGCATTTTGAGGAGCAACATTTGAGGCTTTTACTGAAAAAAGTTCTAATGACCCATGATACGTAGTAATTTGCAATTTTCTTTGATATGAGTTTTAGCAGTGCAGGATAGGCCTTGAAATTCAGAATTGTTCATCATCTAATGCCTAAACATAAGCTACCACTTATTATTACAATTTAACACTTATACTTTATCCAGAAAATTAAATTAAATTAAACATGGGTTTTTGAGAATTCGATGATACATTTGCATATTAGATCATATATCTTGACAACACCAAAATTTACTATATTTAATAGGAACAACAGTTTCAGAAGATTCTTGCATTACATCCAAATAGTAAAACGGAGGGGTCAAAAGCTTATCTTTTTAAAAGGTTTTTACTTAAAGATGGCAATTTAAGTCTAGTTATCTATTTTCAAAAAATGTGCCAAAGCTTTTCAGCATCCTGACAGCAAACCCTGTGGCAGGGCATTTCCTCGGCACCACCGGCCTTCTGGGCTGGATGACTCTTTGTTGTGGGGGCTGCCACGTGCCTCATAGAATGTTTAGCAACACCCCTGGTTTCTACTCAATATATGTCCCCTCCCCCAGTCGTGACAACTGAAAATGTTCCCAGACATTGCCAAATGTCCTCTAAGGGCAAAACAGCCTCTTTCCCCATTAAGAACCCTGGTCCAAGGTGGTTATCCTCCCTGATATATTCTCTCACAATCTATCTGAGCACTGGAGATGGATTCTCCCAACATTCTTCGAAAGCTTCATTGATTTGAGCAATTTTTTTGAGAGTTCACTTGTAGATTTTCCCTCCCACCGCTTTGACATGAAAGACCTACAGGAACACAAGCCTCTGAAGTGGTCTGTAGCAAGTGTGAGTTCATTTTAGTTCACACGGCTGAGAAATCATGCTTGGTATGGATGTTGTGGGGCTTTCTTTACTCTTACTTGGTGGAAAAAAATGTTCCTGCTTTTCACAAAAGGAGTCAAGGAGGCATCAGCAACACCCTTCAGTCTAAGGGGAGGTGACTAGTAAGTTTCAGGTGGCAAGGTGCTCATGGTCTGCACTGTCTTCTAACACCCAACCCCATTTTCACATAAATATCATACTGCCCTTTTCGATCTAGGTATTGTGAATGGGCTCATATAAGTTTCCTTAAAGATATCTTATATGAAAGTACATATTTTTTATAAAGCAAATGGGCAATATTTGTGTAACAACAATCTCCTGACTCATTTGATTGTTAAATCTCCATTTCAGAATGTTGATTTTTACCCCTGTCCCATAAAATCTTACTAGCAGTAGTTTCTTGGAAAGGGGGAAACTGTAATTGACTTGACATTGCTCCTGAGCTGGTTTCTCTACTTTGTGTGAAGCAAGTTTTCTTTCAATAAAATACTTGACACATCACATATAATAAGTCTTAGATTTCTTTCACTCTGAAGTTTGTATTTTTCAATGGTAAAACTAGCCTTCTATCCTTGTCCTGGTAAGTTTTAAAGTTTTTAGCTGTGTGAAGTATTTTTGTTCAGCTGGGACAGTGGGGTTGCTGGGTTTGCCAGTTTCTGCCAGTTGGGCTTTTTGTTTTTTTAATTCATTCATGTTTTTAAGTCTATTCTAAAAGGCCACTTACAGATATTTTCCCGACTATCTTTCTACTACTCTTTCTTTCACTTTCCACGGCATCTCTGTGTCCCGGGTTCTCTGAGCGCTAGCACTGAATGTTGGCTTTCTGGCTGCAGTGTGGAGACGCAGAGCCTTCCTGCCCTTTCCTCCATGTGTAGAAAACAGTGGTAAAGAAAGTCTTTGCAGGAGGAGTTGGGAGGAGGACAGGAAAAAATATTTGAATCTTGCTCTATAAGTTTTGCAAGCTCACAACAGATGAACCTAAGGAGTTTTGTTTGCTTTGGTTTGGTTTGGGGTTTTTTTAATATTATTGTTCCTTTACCTCAAGTGTTTTTTCATTTCAGTCACAAGACTTCCTTACACCTAAAAAATTGCTTAAAATATTGTCTCATGAAATTAGGGTTGTTGAGGCAGGAATAATTTCATAAAGTTCTATTGGAAGGCAAATGTCAGGATTGATGTAGGAAGACACACCAACGAAGTTGAGGGTGGTCCAAAGTCTTACAAGTTGGAAGGCTTTTGTAAGGAAGTTCAGGCAGAAAGAAAGGGGCTCTTCATATTGGAGTTGTCTTTTTTCACTGGAGGGTACAATACAGAGGTTACAATCATTGGACACAGATGACAATATATAGACTAAAATATTTCATGCACAAAACAATCAGTAAAACTTTATGATTCAGAAACAAATCCATATCCTTTTCGATGTCAGGAGGTTACATATTAATCACTACATCAAATTAGCTCAGAAGCTACATTGAAGCCGAACTACATCAATGTATGGGTGTATGAGCAGATCGGGTTATAGGTTACAGAGGTATTCTTCAATCAGACGTTATCTTATGTGTAGGAAAAGGCAAGGACTATTATTCCTTATCTTTTAAGGAGTAGAGTGACTCAGGCAAGAGAGATGGGAGGCCGTGTGCTCAATCTTGTTTTGTCTTTGAAGCATCTTTCTGGAGAACTGCAGGTCATCACAGCAGGGGCTTTGTGAAAGTATGCTAGCAAGCCGAAATGAGCAAGCAAGGCTTCTTACATTTGCTACATTGTCTCACAATATAACACGTTAGGTAAAGGGTTGGATGTGATCAGTAATTGCAGAGAAATGGAGCCAAGCCCATTTCACTGACTGTGCAGGGGTTGATGTGGATTCTCTGCTAAGACTGCATAACCAATGGAAGCCATGGAGTGTGCCGGGTGTGTCACAGCCTCACTTAGGCACAGCGTTTCCTTGTCTTTGTTCCAGGGAGGATGGTGGATTTTCCAGGCTACAATCTGTCTGGTGCAGTCGCCTCCTTCCTATTCATCCTGCTGACAATGAAGCAGTCAGGTAGGATTCCCTTCTCCCTTTACTGTATAGTCTAATGTCCCAGTGAGCTAGTCTGGGTCCAAAGGTCGAGAACAACATCTAAGAGTGTAAGTCTGGGGCCAAGCCACCTGTATCCAAAAAGGAACTCCTCACTTTTGAGGAGCTCCTCCACTCCCAGGAGCTCCTCCACTCCTAGCTGAGTCACCTTTGGAAAGTTACTAGAGCACCTCATACCTTAGTTCTTTCATCTTTTTAATGAGAATAACAGCAGTAACTACATCTCAGAGGCCAGCACAGGCTTTAGGATTAAATGAGACATTAAAAGCACTTGAATCAGTGGTTGCACCACGTTAAATTATTAATTCACTCTAGTACTTTGGGGTCAAGAAATGCAGCTGCTTCTTATCATAAATTAAGCTGCAATTAAAAAAAATACTTGGAAATAAGAAATTAGAAGAAAGGGACTTTGGAAATCTCACTAGCTGAATTTTGACGTCAAAATGTTGCACCTTGAAAAATAATTATTTAAAAATTCAGTGTCAAAAAAAAAAATCAGTGTCAGAAGGAGATGTCAGAGCCCTAAGGAAAATGCAGCATGGCGAAGTGGGAAAAAACACGACACAGAGCATCAGAGGGCGCAGGCTCTGCCTCGGCACCGCAGAGCTGGTGTGTCTGCCTCGGTGCCGCAGAGCTGGTGTGTCTGCCTTGGCCCTGCAGAGCTGGTGTGATGTGATGAAGCTGCTGGCTTCTCTGTGCTTGTGCTGCAGCTCCCTACCCTGTAACAGTCAATCTGATGGAATGTCTTCAGTTCTAGCTTCATATTTAGACTTCATCAATGAAGAATACAAGCAGATCTCCACTTAGGCTCTTTAGCCACCTTTTGAGCAGCATCTATTTGATACCCAGCAGCAGCTAAGTAGGGTGAGGTTCTTCCTAGCAGGATTGGATCTGCACAGAGAAAGAGCAAATGGCCCCGGAGCATTTAGAATGAGAAAGAACATATCATACATGACATAAAATGATCAAACATAATAACATACCTAACTGTTAAACATCTCTTCAATTTGCAGATAACAAGGAAGAGATCAGACATGTCTTAGAATTTGTTTGGAAGACCCAAAAATCTCTAGACAAACCAGTGTCATTAATCCAGCACAAAATGTCCTTGTGAAAACTGCATTGTACATAGTCCCAGTAATTGGCCTCCTGCCAACTCCAGACGGGAAAAAAACAAACAAAAAAACAAAAAAACAAAAAAAACAGTTTTTATATCTAAGAGAAGAGGAATCCTGAAAGGCTAAAAAAGCTAATAAATGGATTTATTATCTAAACTTCAGGAAAATAAAATGTTAATAACAAGAATAAGGTTTCCAATTTAAAAAGTCAATTTACATGAGAATAAATGACTCAAGGAATAAATAATTTACTTGAGAATAAAAACAACCCAGGTATGCTGGTATTAATATCTTGAAGATGAAGAAATTAGGACTTCAAATCTCAAAATCTTACCAAGAGTAATAGATTTGCCACCGAATCACATAGCTGGTAGGTGACAGACAGCAACCTCACCCACATTTTTGAACTGCATTTGTTTTCAGTACACAAAATTGACTCTGTAACAAACAGATGTGCAAATCATCATGCTGGATTTCTCTAAAACATTAAACATATATCTCTCCCTCTTCTAGTTGCCTCCATTTTGACAGGCTGGACACCCCAAAGCATGCATATGATTTTCTGATTGGCATTTCCTCGTTCCTCTTTTTCACTTATTTTATAGAAGACTTTAGAGTCATTGGCCCTGCTCATCCTATCCTGGCCGGGGTTGGGGAAGATGCCCTGTTAACCTGCCAGCTACTCCCCAAGAGGACCACAATGCACGTGGAGGTGAGGTGGTACCGCTCAGAGCCCAGCACACCTGTGTTTGTGCACAGGGATGGAGTGGAGGTGACTGAGATGCAGATGGAGGAGTACAGAGGCTGGGTAGAGTGGATAGAGAATGGCATTGCAAAGGGAAATGTGGCACTGAAGATACACAACATCCAGCCCTCCGACAATGGACAATACTGGTGCCATTTCCAGGATGGGAACTACTGTGGAGAAACAAGCTTGCTGCTCAAAGTAGCAGGTGAATATCTGGGGAAAGACACAGGGTCTCAAGAGGCAGAGATATATTAATTTGTGGTAAGCTTTGTGACAGTTGAGGAAATCCTTTTGAATCATCAAGGTAATTCCTAATGCTTAGTCCTCTACCCTGATTGATTTAAAAATAAGTGGTTCTGGAGTCTTCAAGCTTAGTGTTAAAATATTTTCCCAAATTTAATTTGCACAGTTTTGACTGTTCTTGAGGATTATTTGGAATCCATGACATGCAGTCTTTAGCAATTTTGCTGAGACACACATTTGTGCTACCTAAGGCTGGTGCGCAAGAGCAAACCAATTGCTGCATGAATGAGCCCAGCTGACGTCCGGCATCTGTATCTCAGGGCATTGGTTTTTCTCTACCCAATCCCATCTATGCAGAAACTGAGACGTGAAAATGTTCTTTCCTTGTGAAATGCCCTCAGTTAGAAAGCTATCAACAAGACTGAAAAGGCTAAGAATGTCGTGCTTTGGAGATTGTTATATACTAGTGTTCAATGAATTGGGGACTCACAGATGCTTTTGGACACACCCTCTGTGAATGGGAAGGTTCTTCATATTGCTGTTGTATTAGCTAAGCAGGAAGGAGTAGGGAAGAAGGGGACAACTGAAGAATGGATCTGTCTTATGAAAAGTAAACTATCATATGATTCCCTGACAGGGCTAACTTCTCCATGCTCTAAAGAGAAAATCAAGTAAATCCAATTACTAAGGCAAATGGGGAAAATAGTTCTCTGGAGATGTTAACGTCTCCAGCTGATACTGCTTCCTTCTTTACTTCCCTGGAAGGCTGTTTCCTAATACCTTTTTTTTTCTTAACATCCATTACTGTTACTGTGTTCAAGGTGATTCAAAATGGATGGAGGAATACATATATTTCTGACATGGGGGGACAGGGAACGTACTGATGTATTTCAATATCAGGAACATTTACAAATAAGTCACACATTTTCTAAGGGTCCAAGGGAAGGGAGTGGATCTCTCTTTTACCAGCAAGTGATTAAGACAGAATTCCCATTTATGGAAAATATAGTCCCCTTAGTTTGGGTGTGGGAGTTTCACGTTAAATAGAGAAAAAAAATCCATGATTTCATAAACTGTTGTAAACTAGGATTTCTCAAAACCATCTTACCCATTGAATAGAATATTTAGCTACAAATAACGCCTCGTGGAGATTCGCATTTCACATGCTCCCGTTTATCCACTTGCTTCCGAAGATCACAGCCACCAGCAAAAGATGCAGGAAGAACAGGCCCCTGGGGAGTGATTTCTGACTTTGTGTTAAATCTTCAATCAAATTGGAGTTCAAGACATCATCTAAAATACCAGACAATGTGCCCAATACAGATAATTTTAAGATGAAAAAGGCAGAGTTCATGGCACAGAGGAATTAATGAATAAATTACAGCTCATCTCTGTTTGCAGTGCTAGAAGCGTTGCAAAATGTCATGATGTCCCCCTTCTCCGATTCCCCTTTCTGGATCTGGAGAAAAGTACTGGTCAGATGCTAAAATGTAAAGACGCAGACTGGGGAACAAATAAAGTGTATCTGAACTCACATTTGAATGGGGAGACTGAGGTCGACTTTCTGCTCCTCAGACTCCTGAACTCCGGCCACCTCCCTGTGAGCAACGTCACTGGGATCTCAGCCTCTGTGATTTCTGCCTCTGTGGGCTCTGGGTGTCAGAGCTGTGGCTTCCCTCTGCAGGTCTGGGGTCTGCCCCTAGCATCCACATGGAGGGACCTGGGGAGAGTGGAGTCCAGCTTGTGTGCACTGCAAGGGGCTGGTTCCCAGAGCCCCAGGTGTATTGGGAAGACATCCGGGGAGAGAAGCTGCTGGCCGTGTCTGAGCATCGCATCCAAGATGAAGATGGCCTGTTCTATGCGGAAGCCACCCTGGTGGTCAGGAACGCCTCTGCAGAGTCTGTGTCCTGCTTGGTCCACAACCCCGTCCTCACTGAGGAGAAGGGGTCGGTCATCAGCCTCCCAGGTCAGTGCTCTGCCTCTAGGACCCACACGCTCAGATCAGCAGGAGAGGTCCCAGGGACTGCACCATAGCACCTCGTATTTTTATCAAGAGACATTGTCTATCATATAGCAATATGTATTGAAAGCCATAAAACATTTATGACTGGAAATATACGCACTACATTTTACTTGAATAGCTGTTATGGCGCCTGCGTTATTTTTGAGTTCTACCTTTCCTTCTTCTGCATTGATTGTTTTTACTCACAAGTATTCATTGCATTGTAAAGAAAATAAAGCTATATTTCTTCAACTGAAATGTTTTCCTATGCTGTCTTGTGCTGATTACTTCTAGAAATCTATCATATGAAGATAATCAGAGATGTAGACAACTATTTGCATAATAGAATATTAATTATGGCCTTATTTATAAATAGCAGCAAAAACAACCAACCCCCCAATACAACAGTACAGTGTGGAATCTTGTCTTACTATACATTATAGCATTAATAAAAAGATATTTTTAAATAATTTTAATGGTTGAAAAAAATCCTCATGATGCACTATTCAATGATAAACATGACATCTACCTATAAATTGACATTTCCAATCACATAAAAGTTACTGGCCTTAAATAACTTATAACTGCACTAAAACTTTCAGGATACCCTCCACATTTGGATATAAGTATACAGTTATTCATATAAATGGATAGATTAAAAAAACTTTAAAGTTAATGTTACATTTTAATTTTAAATGAAGCTGATTGTATATTACATATAATTCGTCTCTCTACTTTGTAATTTAGGTGATACTGTTTATGTCCATATAATTTTGTACTTTCTGTGTATCTATAAAAGGAACATATGTTATTTTCATGCTGATAGCTAAGTATTTATGCTGTAAATATCAGAAGAAACCAACAGAATCATGGGGAGATAGAAGTGACAGCATTTTTGTTGTGCAGAGAAAAGGAAAAAAAGCTGTATCATTGGGTAATCTGTGGGAAAGAATCAGTATTTTTCTGCATTTCATTTTTTTAATGAATTGAGCTTCCCTATATAATGTATAAATTGCTTTCTTTTTTAAAAAATAGTTTCTCTCCTTTCCCTTACACCAAATTCCTTAATATGTTATTCTTGTTCTTTTTCCAGAGAAACTCCAGACTGAGCTGGGTAAGTACGAGGTGCTGGCACACACCTGTGGAGGGAGCCTCTGCCCTCCCCAGCAGAGGGAGGGGAGCTACCACGAGACCATGTGACCCAGAGGAAAAACTGAGGCACGATTTTACCAGGTCCTATGTTCATTAAATACCAGAGGAGACCAGCAAAGTAATGGCCTCATTCAAGGAGGTTGCAGCTGTGTTACCTGACACTTTGGGGGCTCATGGAGATTCCAGTGAGCATCAGATGGACACCTATAGGAAGCATGGCATCATCTCTGTTCTATGTGTTGAGGGGAAAGGGAGCTGCCTCAGAATGTGTGGGGGATGACAGCAGACAGCTGGCCGGGGCCTGGAGGCCCTTTGAAAACATTTCAAGTGTGAACAAGGGCAGCATCATTATGACAACCTGGGTTGCACCCAGCACCTCCCTGCTCAACTCTGCTATGGGGTCCTGCACCTGCTCCTCACCCCAGTACACCCCTAAGCTAATCACTATTGGGAGGGAGCTGTTACTTTCTGAGTGCAACCTGGGATACTGTGAGTGTAGCAATTTTTTTTTTTTTTTTTTTTTTTTTTTTTTGAGACGGAGTCTTGCTCTGTCGCCCAGGCTGGAGTGCAGTGGCGCGATCTTGGCTCACTGCAAGCTCCGCCTCCCAGGTTCAGGCCATTCTCCTGCCTCAGCCTCCCAAGTAGCTGGGACTACAGGCAACCGCCACCACGCCCGGCTAATTTTTTGTATTTTTAGTAGAGACGAGATTTCACCGTGTTAGCCAGGATGGTCTCGATCTCCTGATCTCGTGATCCCCCCACCTCAGCCTCCCAAAGTGCTGGGATTACAGGCGTGAGCCACCACGCCGGGCATTTTTTTTTTTTTTGAGACGGAGTCTCGCTCTGTTGCCCAAGCTGGAGTGCAATGGCGCCATCTTGGCTCACTGCAACCTCCATCTCCTGGATTCAAGCTATTCTCCTGCCTCAGCCTCCTGAGTAACTGGGACTACAGGCACACACCACCACACCCAGCTAATTTTTTTTTTTTTTTTTTTTTTTGTATTTTTAGTAGAGACAGGGTTTCACCATGTTGGCCAGGATGGTCTCGATCTCCTGACCTCATGATCCGCCGGCCTTGGCCTCCCAAAGGGCAGGATTACAGGCATGAGCCACTGCACCCAGCCTAATTTTTGTTTTTTAAATCTCGGAGTTGGACTGAGGGTATTATTTTGCTGCACCTGAGATAAGTGGTTTAAAACATAACCAGCCGATGTCTGAGCCCCTTTGAGTTTCCCCTTTACCTCCTTACTAGCTCCCTCCTTTTTATGGCCTCTTCTCCCAGCCCAAGGCAACCAGCCTGCCTCCCTGCCTAGGTGCATAGAACGTGGATCCCTTATGTGCTCTTTCCATCAATTCCTTGCTCTCCATCAAGTCACCTGCTCCAGGAATGTGTATCCATGTGTGTGCTTTAGGTGAGCTTAAGCACACCTTTCAGCCCACGAAAGAGTTTTTGAGGAAAATCAGGGTAACAAACACAACCCAATCTCTACCAGAGTCTACTATGGCACCTTCAACCCCATTAGGCCATAAACATAAAGGGAAGGGTCCCTGGAAGGCGCAAAGTAACTCCACAATCTGAGGAGAGACACACACCTGTGTATCTTACCCTTCTGAGATCAGGAAGTAAAGCCAGTGTTTGGGGCAGGTTGACACAAGTCTGTCTCTCAAGAAGGTTTTAGGGGAAGAGTCACTCCTCTGAGTTCTCTGAGACCCACTGGAGACCCAGCACACAAAATACGACCCCATGTCCAGTTGTTCCTAAGTCATGGTAACCTCCGGGGCCACAATTAACCAACACGGAAAGACGGAGCTTCCCTTTGCTTCCTGTCAGGTGGGAGAGGAGGGCTCTGGGCACGGAAGCTTTGCAGGTGAGCTCTAATGATGGGACACCCAGCTCTCTATGGAAGTCCTAAGACTGAAATCACTGCTTGTAGTCTTACAAATAATGTTTTTCATTTATAAAAATAATAGTTTTTAAAAATATTAATTGTATGCCAGGCACGATGCTGAATATGTTATGGGAATTATTTCATTTTTTCTTACAATAATTATAAAGTTTAATTGCTTTATCCTCATATTACAGCTAAGAAACAATCTTAGAGACATACATGGTTTGCCAAAAATCAGGAAGAAATGGTGATGTTTACCTTCTAATCTACATCTATCTAACTTAACAGTGCAAGTCCTTAATTACTTATGTGTGACTTTGTCAGCTCATTCATCTCTATTTTTCTCATCTTTAAAGTGAACAGGTTGAATTTAATCTCTAATGTAGTGTCCAGTTCTAAGAGATTAGATATAACTTAGCATATTTGAGAAATGAGATAGTGCATTAATTGAATATGCTGATTGAAAGAGGATTATGTGGTATGATGATGAGATTATCAGGTTTCAAGGAATCAGTGTATAATTCAGTGTACTTCACGCTCCAGAAGGGAATTAATTTTTCAGTGGATATTCAGAAGGCATTCAGAACATACAAACAATAACCAAAACAAAACAAAGCAATATATTTCAGCACAAAATTGTCTGGAAGGCTGTGTACAAAACCGTATAGAAAAAGGAGGTTAACTACTGCATGTTCACACTTATAAGGGGGAGCTGATTGGTGAGAACACATGGATGCATGGCAGGGAACAACACACACTGGACACCTGTTGGGGGATGGGGGAGGGAGAGCATCAGGAAGAACAGCTAATGGATGCTGGGCTTAACACCTGGGTGATGGGATGACCTGTGCAGTAAGCCACCATGGCACATGTTTACCTATGTAACAAACCTGCACATCCTGCACATGTACCCCGGAACTTAAAATTGAAAGAAAAAAAAAAAGTGGGTTAGGCATAGTGGCTCCCAAGGAGCTTGTATTCTAGTAGAACATCAATTATTAACAAACAGGGCTGCATGATTTTTTTAGCACTTTAAACTTTAGTTTTACTTGGATTCTGGACAAAAGGAGTTTTGTCTGTATCTGTAATGCATCAAATTAATTGAATCTCCATACTTACATTTTGCTTCCTTCAGTCTCCATTGAAGTCAATTTTAGCTCTTAATTACCTATGTCAGGCAGGGCAAGCCAGTTTAAGATCTAATATGTGCACAGGTCACACACGGACAGGGAATAAAATCCTCATATGGATAAAGGAGATGAGGAAACAGTCTGTTTTATTAAGTAATTTACCGTAAGCCATGTGGATGCAGAAACAGCCCCAAACTAATCCCTAGTCCATTTTTTCTGATTCTTGTCTTCAGACTTTAATAGATACATAGGAGAGGAAAATAATATTGTTTTAGGTAAAATTACAGGACAAAGCAAACAAAATGCTGGAAATAACTGGGAGTCAACTGTTACCTGGAATGGAAGGTAATAATCTGAAAATTCAAATTGTGTTGACAGGGACTTTCCTCTCTACAAAGGTAGCTGGCAGTTTTCGGCCAATGACATAATGGGATGTTAACGCCTTTGGCCAGTGACTCTATGCAGAGAACCAACAATTTTATGCTTGTGTTTCTATTATAAATGATCACACCTTATGCAAAACCATTCTTATCATTTAACAGAAAAGGACGACACTTAATTTAGAATAGAGAAAAAATGGCACGGGCAGGGCCTGATGAGAATGGAAAATGTAATATAGCTTGGGCCCAGGAAAGCCCTCAGAGAACATCTTTCCCCACTTTGCACAGTGGGAGAATTAGACCCCTTTTTTACATTCATCATTGTTTCACAATTTGTACTTTGCCGACTTCCCCAATTATTGATCTTAAAATGTTAATTTTAATTTTCAAAATTATTTGAGGACATTCAACTGGTGTGTGTCTATAACTCCACCTATGTGGAGCATTGGGGAAATAAAATATAGCGGCTGGACCAGACTTACAAGGTACTATAAAGTCCACCTAGAGGAAAGCTTCTTCAAATATCATTACCAAAAGTCCACATGAGACACGTTTTTAAACCCCTCCCTATTACCACGTCAGAGGGTGGGGATGGCTCCAACGCCTTCAAGTCTCACAGGTCTGTGCACCTCTGCTCACGCTGCAGGGTCTTCCAGGCACTTAATGCAAACTATTTTGTTCAACTCTGAAACATTATGATTTTGGTAGTTGTATAGCAAATTTACAGTTTAAGAAACTGAGGCATTAAGAAGTAGTTTAAGACAGATTAAGAAGTAGTTTAAAATCATACAGAATTGAAGTGTTAGAAGAAAAACTTTAGACAGACTAAATTTAGCAGAGTCTAACTGAGAAAAGGATGACTCATAAACAAGCCATCCCTCAGAATCAGAACGGTTTCAGAGAATTCAAAGCAGCAATTTGGTCAGACAGCATTTATGGACAGAAAATGGAAATGAGGTACAGAAAACAGAAGTGAGGTACAGAGACAGCTCTATTGGTTGCAGCCTGGCGTTTGCCGATTTGAACAGGGTTTCAACAGTTGGCTGCCTGCAACTAACAGAAGTGCAGCAGCTGCTACTCAGCTATTTATTACAAAAGTGTACTCCTAAGTTAGCCTTAGCTCCTAAGTTAGGCTTATTCATAAAATAATTTTGCAATTAAAACTCTCAGAATAAAATGAGCAATTTATAAATTTGGCCCCAGGATGCCTCTGTACCTGAGTGCTTATGTAACAAACCAACCTAAGTTAGGCTTTCAGTAGTTGACGTACTAAGTTAAATTGCAGTTTGTTACATAAGGAGTCAGGTACAGAGGCATCTGGGGCCAAATTTATAAACTGTTCACTTTATTCTGGGTGTTTTTTGTTTGTTTGTTTTTAAAGTCTCGCTTTGTCACCCAGCCTGGAGTGCAGTGGCATGATCTCAGCTCACTGCAACCTCTGCCTCCCGGGTTCGAGCAATTCTTCCACCTCAGCCTCCTGAGTAGCTGGGATTACAGGCACCCACCATCATGCCCGACTAATTTTTGTATTTCTGTAGAGACGGGGTTTCACCATGTTGGCCAGGCTGGTCTTGAACTCCTGACCTCTGGTGATCCACCCGCTTCGGCCTCCCAAAGTGCTGGGATTATAGACTTGAGCCACCACACCCAGCCTATCTGGGAGTTTTAATTGCAAAATTATTTTATTATTGGTCTGTAAACTGAAAAAAATACAGGTAGAAGCAGGTAGGGATTCAATTACTGTTTTACTCAGACTGACACACATCATGGAACGATTCCTCCTTAAAGAAGAGCAACCTCTATTCTGAGTCCATGAAACCCCCACCTCACCTAAGGATGACCCTGAGCCTCACAGCAACCCTGGGATGCTCATGGTTTCTAAACTCCAATGGAGCTGTTCTTAGAGATGACATTATTGGTTCCATTTTGATTCTTTCATTGTGTTTTGTCCACTCTATTTAACAGCTTCTTTAAAAGTGAATGGACCTTCCCAGCCCATCCTCGTCAGAGTGGGAGAAGATATACAGCTAACCTGTTACCTGTCCCCCAAGGCGAATGCACAGAGCATGGAGGTGAGGTGGGACCGATCCCACCGTTACCCTGCTGTGCATGTGTATATGGATGGGGACCATGTGGCTGGAGAGCAGATGGCAGAGTACAGAGGGAGGACTGTGCTGGTGAGTGACGCCATTGACGAGGGCAGACTGACCCTGCAGATACTCAGTGCCAGACCTTCGGACGACGGGCAGTACCGCTGCCTTTTTGAAAAAGATGATGTCTACCAAGAGGCCAGTTTGGATCTGAAGGTGGTAGGTAAGAATTCTAGATAGATATTTTGTATTCAATACCTGCTCCTGCCACTTTAATATGCTAGTTCCTGGACAATTTCTCTGACATTTGAAATTTTCTTAATGCTTATTCATCATCAAATTTATATCAAATCCTCCAGTGTGTGAAACTGTCATAGTTACTTAAAATCCACAAACTCAAATGGATGAAATTTAATTATTTGGGCATATAACTTGTATCTTTTCCAGTATCTTCAAAAATTGACCATATCTTTAAGGAAATCTGAGTATCTTACTACATATTTTACAAAAGACTCATTGTTTCACAGTGTGTTATTAGAATTCTGAGAAATGCAATAAAATTCTAGAAACTGTAATCATCTGAAGACTAAACTGGATCCACTGTGTAAACCAAAATTATAAATATTGACAGTTTTGGCAGGGACAGGGGAGAAAAGATGAAATCACTCCCTGCAGCATCATTTCCCACTGTCCGTGTGTGTGAGAATTGAAACGTCCAAGGTTAGCAGATGCCATTGAGTACATATAGGCCCAAGTCTTGGATATGCTACGTGTTTCTCCCACGGATTTTGATTCTAAATTAATAAACACGTTTAGCCATGGGAGCGCATGTTGAGAAGTTTCATGAGCCTCGTATTTTCTGCCATTGGACGTAGATATTTATAAGGTTTCGATTTTTGAGAATATCCTCCTACTCCGTATGTTAATCCTGTCCATGTGACCCATGCCCTGGCCGAAGTTATTTTGTTCTCAGGGACAGAATAAATGTTGGATTTGAACATTTACCTTACCTCTTAATCATCCCAGAATGATTTAGGAATACAAAGAATAAAAATAAGCAAACAAACAAAATAAGAAAATGCTCCAGCCAGCCTCATCCCTAAGTGGAGTGCAATCCCCCTTAAGCTTTTCTCCCTTCCCCAAGCCCTCCACATCCCCTTCTTTCCTCCCAGTGAAATTGCTGCCCACTCATCCACTTGAAAGGACCCCAGGCTTTGGTTGCTTTCTCTGCCCCAGGTCTGGGTTCTTCCCCACTGATCACTGTGGAGGGGCAAGAAGATGGAGAAATGCAGCCGATGTGCTCTTCAGATGGGTGGTTCCCACAGCCCCACGTGCCATGGAGGGACATGGAAGGAAAGACGATACCATCATCTTCCCAGGCCCTGACTCAAGGCAGCCACGGGCTGTTCCACGTGCAGACATTGCTAAGGGTCACAAACATCTCCGCTGTGGACGTCACTTGTTCCATCAGCATCCCCTTTTTGGGCGAGGAGAAAATCGCAACTTTTTCTCTCTCAGGTTGGTGATTCCTTATGTTCCTTCAGGTTTGGAAAATAAATATGAAGACCAACTCAGACTTACTCATTGTATTGCTCTTCTTCCTTTGTGATTTTTATTTGCTGCTCTCTGACGAGGTCTCCTGCTATCCTCTGCAAAGCTGGTTTTCAGGACACCCAGGGATTCTACTCCTCTGAGTTTCTCTCTGACACCCTCAACTAGCGCCCTGCAATTATTTTTATCATTGGATACACACTAAATTCTCGTAATTGACCCTGTTTTCACTCTCTCTCTTTAAATTCTCTTCTTCTGATGTGAAAACAATTAAATTACAGAACTTTGTGTTTTCCCCCTCATGGAGGATTTTCTTCTGGATTAGAAACTGATTTTTATTAATACCATCTTCATGGTTGCGGCTTGAGTAATTTTATCCTTTCCTCCTCAAGTCATTCCAGTGATTGTGTGATATAGTTGGAAGAGAGAAGGGAAAACTTGTCTGTGCATGTGTACATTTCTGAGACGAGCAAACATGAAATACTTGCATTCTCTCCTCTGCATCTCCAGAGCAGGGAGGAGCAGGCCAACTGCTTCCTGGGAGGCCAAATTCTCTCCCTTCTCTCCAGCCTAGAAGCTGCTCAGATGAAAAGTACAATCTTAATATTGTCCCAGTTTCACAGTTTCAAGGGATTCTTGGGTTTCCATTTTAGAGTCCAGGATGACGTTTTTGTGGAAAACACTGCTTGTTTGGGGATTGCTTCTTGCTGTGGCTGTAGGCCTGCCCAGGAAGAGGAGCTGAAAAGAGGTAAGTCAGGGAAACAGAAACAGCGGAGCACACTGCAGTGGGAACCGTACTGCGTACTTCCCCGAGCCTCCCTTTTCACAAGTCACCTATGGGAGGCAGTCAGTGAATATCCAGTAACTAAGGAAACATGAGAAACAGGAAAGCCCAGGGCTTATCATGCAATCCAGGCTCAGTGATGCATGAGGTCAGTGTTTCCACTTGTAATAGAAGCAAAATGATTAAAAGATAATGATTTGATTTCCTGCTGCCCATTCCCCAGTGATCTGGTTAGGGAAGAAGAAGAAAAAAGTGAGTAGTACAGCCATCCTTGTTTTCAAGGCTGAGAGCTGAGGTTCACTGAGATTTGTTGGCGTGAACAATTTCCTATGATCTTTAAAAATGTGGTGACCTACTTGTTGGTGATTTCTGTGTTGCTGGTGACTTCTCATGTGTTAGGGAGGCTGTTTTGTGTGCTCTAGAAAGTGCTTCCACTTTAAATTTCTTATGTCCGTGAAACACTTGTCTTCCTGTTTGGCTGTTAATAGAATGAAATTATATTGATTAATTATCAGAATGGATTCTCTTTCTTTACAGTGAATGTGACATTGGCTTCAAACACAGCTCACCTGAGACTGATTTCTTCTGAACAAAACAAGCGTGTGATCCATGGACATTCAGGCAGCCAGATATCCCACAGAGATCTGACTATCTGCTCTATGGGCCAGAGGGAACTCCTGTCAGGGAGCTGGTACTGAGAGGTGGAGACTGGGAACAGGGCGCGATGGGTCCCGGAGGTTGCCAAGCACATGTTGCAAAGAAAGAGTCATCTCTGTGTCACCTGACAGTGAGTTTTAGGCAATGGATTGCAAAAGAAATGAGTTCTGGGCCATCCCCTCTCTTCCAAGCCCCATCCCCTTGAAGGTGGCCCCTGAACAAGTCAGAATCCCCCTGACCGTGCCTCTGAATACCTCTCCTCTTATAACATGATTGGCAAGTGCCCTATCTACACCTTCCCCAAAACTTCCTTCTCTGGGACTCTGCACCCCGCTTCATTCTTTGGTTCCCTAATGTAGGTTCTCTGGACATTTTTTCTGTACCCACAAGAACATCTCCAACGTATCAGGAAAATAACAATCTGGGATTCTGGAAACCAGAATGATATTCTGAGTCCTGATCATTTCTCATTTCTCTAACTGCTTGAAGGGGGCTGCCATGATCATTGAAGTACTAACTCAAGGTGTTTTAATTCTACTCAGGAAAATCTGCTGGAGACTGATCTTTTCAGAGACCTATCCTGTTCCAGGTTCTCTGAGATCCGGCCTATCAATCACAATCTGACATCTGATAATCAAGGACCCTTAGAAAATCCCATGGGAAATACAATTTAGCCTACAGGAAGAAATGAAAGGAATAATCAAGGATTTGGTCAGTTTCTTTTTTTTTTCTTTTTCTTTTCTTTTTTTTTTTTTTTTTTTTTTTTCTGAGACAAAGTCTCACTCTGTTACCCAGGCTGGAGTGCAGTGGCATGATCTCAGCTGACTGCAACCTCTGCCTCCCGGGTTCAAGCAATTCTCTTGCCTCAGTCTCATGAGTAGCTGGGATTACAGGCATGTGCCACCATGCCCAGCCTATTTTTGTATTTTTAGTAGAGATGGGGTTTCACTTTGTTGGCCAGGCTGGTCTCAAACTTCTGGCCTCAAATGATCCACTCGCCTCGGCCTCCCAAAGTGCTGGAATTACAGGCATGAGCCACCACACCTGGCCTGATCAGTTTATTTAAGATGGTGACAATTAATTGTCCACATAGGTGGAACTGAGAAAATAAAAAATATATATATACAGTTAAAAAAAAGTGAAAGAAAATACAGCTGCATAAGGGGGAGAAAAATCTGATCACTAAAATATAATCTTGAAAATCTTATGAAGTGTTGTAAAATCCCTCCTCCAGACTTTTTGAGAAAGTTGATACAGGAAATTGAGTCAGGAAAAAAATTTTAGACTTTCCGATCCAAGCGAAAAATTATGTATCATCTATACGAACATGTCAATTTTATTGTTAGAGCAAAATAAAGTGCACAATTTAAAATTAATAATTATAAAATAAACAAATATAAGCAGTACATGTAACACAGTAAAAATATTTTAAAGTTATAATGAGTTCAAGAAGATAAACTATATGTGGAAGACAGAAGAATGTCAACAAGACTTTTGGAAAGAATGTTATGAAGTGAGAAGACGAGGACCTGCTAGTGACGCTCTGCTGCTCTCCAGGATGGCAGACGTCAGAGGCATCGCGGTCCCATGCGGATCACTCATGAACAGCACTCTGAACTTGCTCTTCTGGGCCATCATTTTTTTTTCTATTTTTAAACTCATAAATTTAAACACATAAATGTTAGAAACTACACATTATTCTTCCACAAATGTTTACACATTAATTTTAATAAACATTTTTTTCAATTGTGGTAAAATACATAACATAAAATAAAACCCTTTAACCATTTTAAAGTGTACAGTTCTGTGGTATTGTATATGTGACATTGCTGTGTGACCATCATCATCACTTTCTAGTTCCAGAATATTTTCATCGCCCTAAACGAAACTTCATACCCATTAAGCAGTTACTACCCATTTTTCACTCCCTACTCCCCAGGTAATCTACTTTCTGTCCCTATGAACTTTTCTATTCTGAATATTTTATATAAATGGAACCATAAACTATCTGTGTATGTGTATGTGTATGTGGCTTCTTTCCCTTAGCCTAATATTTTTAGAGTTCTTCCATGTCATAGCATGTATCAGTGCTTCTTTCCTTTTTTAAAAAAAAATTAACAGACATTATTTTTAAGAACAGTTTTAGATTTATAACAAAATAAAATGGAAAATCCAGAGAGCTCCTAGATCCCTCCTCTCTCCCCCCTATTTCTGCTATTATTAACATCTTACATTAGTGTGGCACATTTGTTACAACCCATGAAAGAATAGTGACACATTATTTTCAACTAAAGTCCACAGTTTTACATTAGGTTCACCTTTTGTTTATATAATCTCTGGAGTTTAACAAATGATTTTTACATTTACATTGATCTATCTTTATATTTATGAAGACTTAAATTTATTAGTAAATATACTAGGTTTACCTGAAAATATTTTAACACTATTTTGATTTAATGTAATTAAAAATAATTTATTGCACAACATCTAAAGGTTAACTATTATTTTTCACTTACTTTTGAGTCTTCCTTCCTAGTGAATGTAGCTCTTTGCTTGTTAGTCTGTGCTTGTGAAGGCCCTATGAATACATATATTCACTTTCCAGGGAGAAAGTCTCAAGAAAATTGGTTTTTATCAGTCACATTCTCTCACTGTATATTAGAAAACATACTTTCCTATAGCTTCCCAAATTGGTGATTAATGTACTTTCTGAGTTCCAGTTCCAGTTAGAAAAGCCACAGGAAGGAGAGGGGTTGGTGGCGTTGAGGATGATGCCCCAGTCACTGGAAGTCCCTGTGGCTGTTGGGTGGGTAATCAGGTTGGTGCCTCAGGATACAGTTCCCTCCCCTCCTGGTGTGTAGACAGCTGGGTGTAGTCATTAAAGTGGGGCCACTCTCAGAATAAATGTGCAGATTGGCTGGATCTCAGTTTCAGGGAGAGGACAGGAGGAAGCCACAGAGACTGAATTGTTAACTCCCTGACATTTTCCTCCTTTGTCAGTACAATTTAACTTCCATGAGGACAGTGATTTTTTTCCTTCTTGTCTAGCCCCACAACCTGTAAAAATGACATACATTGATTATCAATAAACATTTGTAAAATGCATGAATTGTCTCATAAAGTGATATTTATTGAATATCTTACCTGTTGAATGTACTATGCTAAGGCCTAGAGATACAATCCTTAATAAGACATAATTCCTGCCCTCAGGTCTTTCTTTTTTGCAGTGGAGTCACTCTGTTTTTGGAATGTCTTATTATACCTTCATAAACTTTACTAAAAATGGGAGTGCCAGAGTAGTCCAGCAATAAAGAATTAATTGATGTAGCCAGGTGGTGAATTCACTTTTCCAGAAAGGATAGGCTACTTGGAGACCCTGCACTACTTATTGATTTACTCAAAGCTACAAATGAAAATAAGATGGACACTGTTATCCCTGACAGGTCTAAAGCTCTGAGTCCAATCAACCATCCACCTTCACGTTTTCTACCATGTCCACCTGCAGCCACTGCTCCCCAATCTCTAAGCTTAGAAGGACAAACACCCATTAAAATGAGTAAAGAAGTGACAAGTTTAAGAATCTTGTTGTAGAAAAAATATGAATTTAGACTCTGAAAAAGAGATAGTAAAAACTCCTCTTGAACCTCATGCTGAATGTCCTAAGTGTATAAAAAAGTAAAATGTCTAAGGCTGAACCTGTTACATTTCGTGTTCTATACCACAGTTCCACCCCATTTGTTCCTGTTTTGTTGTTACCCCCATGTTTAGGGCTCGCATGTCCAGAAATCCCTTCTCATCCACCATGTCCATTTGATTATAACTATTAATATTTTATCACCATTTATTTACCTCTGTCCTGCCTTGATTATTTCTTGATGAAATGTGTAAGCCTCCCTTTAGGGTCAGTGAAATTAGGACTAGGCTCTGGCTTGATTCTTCCTGGCTTCGAATACTGTCTTTGCCACTTAGTGTGTGACGTGAAATTTCACCAAGGAGATACATCTACAGGACAGATTGTTAGAGGCACTTGTGGTTTACAGATCTGCAAATACTGTAGAAGAAAAACTAAGGGGATCTCTTCCATCATCAGGAAGAAAGGGTTCATTTAACAGAAGAAGCTCGGCCAGGTGCGGTGGCTCACGCCTGTAATCCCAACACTTTCTGAGGACAAGGCGGGTGGATCACAAGGTAAAGAGATGGAGACCATCTGGGCCAACACGGTGAAACCCTCTCTCTTATACTAAAAATACAAAAATTGTGGTTTCCAGGTTCATCCATGTCCCTACAAAGGATATGAACTCATCCTTTTTTATGGCTGCGTGGGAATTGAACAATGAGAACACCTGGACACAGGGCGGGGAACATCACACACCAGGGTCTGTCGTGGGGTGGGAGGAGCGGGGAGGGATAGCATTAGGAGAAATACCTAATTTAAATGATGAGTTGATGGGTGCAGCAAACCAACATGGCACATGTATACATGTGTAACAAACCTGCACGTTGTGCACATGTACCCTAGAACTTAAAGTATTAAAAAAAATACAAAAATTAGCTGGGCGTGGTGGTACATGCCTATAGTCCCAGCTACTCAGGAGGCTGAGGCAGGAGAATCGCTTGAACCTGGGAGGTGCAGGTTACAGTGAGCAGAGATGGTGCCACAGCACTCCAGCCTGGTGACAGAGCGAGACTCCGTCAAAGAAAAAACAAACAAACAAACAAAAATACACAAACAAACAAAAAGCAGGAGAAGCTCATATTCTATATCCTTGAAGACAACTTGATGATAAACAGCTGGAGAAGTCTTACATGCAGCAAGGACAAGGGAAACCCTCAACAGTGGGCAGAACAGGTCAGGAAGAAAAAGAATGTTAATGTTAGCAATGACTCTTGGTACAGATGTTTCTTTATTTCTACTTTACTGCTTTCTCTCCTAAAGTATAAACTGCAACATTGACTCCTCTTTCATTCACATTCTCACATAGGACACAATTCTGGACTTGCTGACCAGTGAGAACTTATTAAAGAAAAGGGCTCTTTCCTTCCAGAAGGCTTGGGCTCCTCCTCCAATTATTTACAATTATTCATGAGCCTTCTCCGTCCCTTGTCAAAGTCCAAGATTAGCAGTTGATTGTACACTAGAGCCTGAAGAGCAAACACGCTGAGCTATTAAAGGACTTGGACAGATTCCTATGCATCTCCAACAGTGGTAATGGAAGTGAGAATTCACTCTACTGCAATACTTCCCTTCAAACGCCTCCCCTCCTCCATATTTGATAACAAAAATAGTAAGAAGAGATTTCCCTGTAAATGTAGCTTTAAAATTATATACTTCAACACACACTCAGCATGAAAACAGATGAGAAACCCATGAACTTGTTTGGAGTTTTCTTGTGAGAAATAGTTGCTGCCCACAAAGAGACTGTATTTCCCCAATAGCAGCACTGGAGGAAATCTCCCTGGACATTTTCCAGTTCTCTCACTTCACTTTCTGCCTCTTCCTCTTTGACAGAAAGTGAAATCACACCTAGTGAAACTGACCTACTCACCATCCAAGGACAGCTTTCCTGGTGAATGTACCTAGAAGATGCTCCAGTGGAGACAGCAGAGGTGCCAACACTTCGCTGCTTATTATGCTAATAGAACATTAGCTTCCTGGGCAACATCTCTATCACAACTCGTTAAAGAAGTTACAGGGGTAACTGGAAAAGAATCAGGACAATTTTCATGATGATCTAAGCAGAAGGTCACAGATGTGCCAGCACTCTGAAGGCTAGAATAAGGATGGAAAATCCCACAGAAGGTGATTCCAGTAAGAGAATAGATGTGGGACTAATCGACCTCGTTGTGAAAAGACACGTCTCCAGCCTTGCTGTCCTGGAAACCTTCTAGGGGGACAGGGAGGCTCCTGACAGAGTCTCTGGGCAGGAAGTGAGAGCCATGACCCTTCCTTCTTCACATGTCACCATGCAGAAATTCTTCTCTGGACTTTCTACAAACCACCACTCTCTCTTCATTGTGCTGAACAAACACCCAGAGCTCATCTCGTTCCTGGTCCAACTTCTGTCCCCATTATTTACTTCTACCTCCCAGTAATGTCTGTCTCCCCTGTGGTAAAGTAATGTCTCCCCTGTGGTAAACCCAGAACACTGAAGATGGTTTTGGATTCCCCTTGTCCTTGGTGTGTGGGGGCATCCCAGTTCGGGGAACATTCTCCGTTGAAGAAGTGTATCTTCTACCCTCAGATCGGATGAGGTTGGGATGAGCTGCATCTGGATCCAGAGAAACAGCCACTGCATGTATAGTTGGAAAAAAAAAAAAAAAAAAAAGGAGGAAAGCTGCAAATACTGGGAAGGCAGAATGGAGAAAAACAAGAGGGAGAAAACTGGAAGGTTAGGTAAAACTGTGTTCCGTCCTAGGAGATACACGATGTGTAAGTCCTAGAAGGCTAGGGTTGGGCAAGATCTTCAGTAACCATCTATTCCAGCCAGGCTAGGACTGTCTAGCCAGGATGGCTGTCACACCTGAAAGTGTTCCAGGGTAAGGTTTTCAGGATGGGGTCCTGCCTATTCTTCAAACGCCTGTTACGTTATTGCTTGTTCTTAAAATTAAGTCCTATAGTATCTCCAGTCATGGTGTGTCCACTTTCATTTAAGCCTCTTCATTTTCATTTTCTGTGGGTTTATGTAATAACTGGGCCATCCACTTCTCATACACCTTTATTTCTAGTGATTGAAATCCCAGGCCTTGTAGTCAAAAAGATCTGAATCTTGATAATTGCTCTTTCTTTAGTAGCTCTGATCTTGGTGACGTTACCTTGCTTCTTTCAGGCACACCTAACTCTCATAATAATGCAAATAATTATGGCATTCAGCACAGGACTATTGTGAGAAATAAATGAGATAGCGTATAGGGAACTTAATACTATGACTTCTCTGTGATGAACACTTGGTTCATTTTAGCTTCCAATATTTATAGTAACACTAATAGCAGAGGTGATAGTAGCAATAGTACTAATACTGGTAGTAACTAATCTTCTTTTCAAACCAAACATCCTCAGTAATTAAAATTTTTCTCATAAGAATTTGTATTTGTAAATTAGACCTCTCCCTCTCCCTCTCCCCCTCCCCCTCCCCCTCCCCCTCCCCCTCCCTCTCCCTCTCCTCCCTCTCCCTCTCCCCTTTCCACAGTCTCCCTCTGGACTGTGCTGCTGCCATCTCGGCTCACTGCAACCTCCCTGCCTGATTCTCCTGCCTCAGCCTGCCCAGTGCCTGCCATTGCAGGCGCGCGCCGCCACGCCTGACGGGTTTTCGTATTTTTTTGGTGGAGACGGGGTTTCGCTGTGTTGGCCGGGCTGGTCTCCAGCTCCTAACCGCGAGTGATCCGCCAGCCTCGGCCTCCCGAGGTGCCGGGATTGCAGACGGAGTCTCGTTAACTCAGTGCTCAATGGTGCCCAGGCTGGAGTGCAGTGGCGTGATCTCGGCTGGCTACAACCTCCACCTCCCAGCCGCCTGCCTTGGCCCCCCAAAGTGCCGAGATTGCAGCCTCTGCCCGGCCGCTACCCCGTCTGGGAAGTGAGGTGCGTCTCTGCCTGGCCGCCCATCGTCTGGGATGTGAGGAGCCCCTCTGCCTGGCTGCCCAGTCTGGAAAATGAGGAGCGTCTCTGCCCGGCCGCCATCCCACCTAGGAAGTGAGGAGCGCCTCTTCCCGGCCACCATCCCATCTAGGAAGTGAGGAGCGTCTCTGCCCGGCCGCCCATCGTCTGAGATGTGGGGAGCGCCTCTGCCCCGCCGCCCCGTCTGGGAGGTGAGGAGCGTCTCTGCCCGGCCGCCCCATCTGAGAAGTGAGGAACCCCTCCGCCCGGCTGCCACCCCGTCTGGGAAGTGAGGAGCGTCTCCGCCCGGCAGCCACCCCATCCGGAAGGGAGGTGGGGGGGTCAGCCCCCTCCCGGCCAGCCACCCCGTCCGGGAGGTGAGGGGCGCCTCTGCCCGGCCGCCCCTACTGGGAAGTGAGGAGCCCCTCTGCCCGGCCAGCCGCCCCGTCCGGGAGGGAGGTGGGGGGGTCAGCCCCCCGCCCGGCCAGCCGCCCCGTCCGGGAGGGAGGTGGGGGAGTCAGCCCCCCGCCTGGCCAGCCGCTCAGTCCGGGAGGGAGGTGGGGGGGTCAGCCCCCCGCCAGGCGAGACGCCCCGTCCGGGAGGGAGGTGGGGGGTCAGCCCCCCGCCCGGCCAGCCGCCCCGTCCAGGAGGGAGGTGGGGGGGTCAGCCCCCCGCCCGGCCAGCCACCCGGTCCGGGAGCTGAGGGGCGCCTCTGCCTGGCCGCCCCTACTGGGAAGTGAGGAGCCCCTCTGCCCGGCCAGCCGCCCCATCCGGGAGGGAGGTGGGGGGTCAGTCCCCCGCCCGGCCAGCTGCCCCGTCCGGGAGGGAGGTGGGGGGGTCAGCCCCCCGCCCGGCCAGCCGCGCCGTCCGGGAGGTGAGGGGCGCCTCTGCCCGGTCGCCCCTACTGGGAAGTGAGGAGCCCCTCTGCCCGGCCACCACCCCGTCTGGGAGGTGTACCCAACAGCTCATTGAGAACGGGCCATGATGACAATGGCGGTTTTGTGGAATAGAAAGAGGGGAAAGGTGGGGAAAAGATTGAGAAATCGGATGGTTGCCGCGTCTGTGTAGAAAGAAGTAGACATGGGAGACTTTTCATTTTGTTCTGTACTAAGAAAAATTCTGCCTTGGGATCCTGTTGATCTGTGACCTTACCCCCAACCCTGTGCTCTCTGAGACATGTGCTGTGTCCACTCAGGGTTGAATGGATTAAGGGCGGTGCAAGATGTGCTTTGTTAAACAGATGCTTGAAGGCAGCATGCTCGTTAAGAGTCATCACCACTCCCTAATCTCAAGTACCCAGGGACACAAACACTGCGGAAGGCCGCAGGGTCCTCTGCCTAGGAAAACCAGAGACCTTTGTTCACTTGTTTATCTGCTGACCTTCCCTCCACTATTGTCCTGTGACCCTGCCAAATCCCCCTCTGCGAGAAACACCCAAGAATTATCAATTAAAAAAAAAAAGAAAAAGAAACTGCCTCTGTTAGGATCAAAGGTTGAGAAAGTAAGGAGAATACAGAGCTTCCTTCCATAACTGTAGGAAGGCACCAAATTTGAACAGAGTAAGGCTCCTAGTGCCACTGCCTAAAAGGATTGAGATGAGTAGCATAGGTAAGTTCTGCTCCAGGCTTCAGATCACAATTCTAGTAACATAGCACAGTGAGAACATTTTTATTTTTTCTGGACAAGTTTTGCCTCCCCATCGACAGGTTACATAAAGGAAACCCAATTTTTCATTCATCAGCAAAGACTTCCAGGAAAAGGGAGGAAAATTTCCTGTTCTCTCTTAAATGTTGTCAAAAGATTTAAAGCTCTTCATCCTTTTGATTCTCTTTACTTCAGATTCATGAGATAGAGCACACTATGCACAGGGCCAAGGCATCTGAACTAAGAGATGACAAGAAAGAGGGGTACGGCAGAAATAAGCAATAGCCCTGCCAGTACACAGTGTCTTAAGCTCCTACTTCTTGATTTTTTTCTTTTCCATTATTGACATCTGATTGATGTTAGGTAAACAGGTAGAACAAGGGGAATTGGCATGTGTGAGGGCAAAAATCTCACATGGAAATCACTAGATCTCTATAATGGGACAAGTGTCTATGAATTAGCAATGAAACCATAAGTTAGGATAATGTCTTGATGAGAAATGTTCTGGAAATAGCAACCAGATTCCGGTATCAGAAGGGATGGGGATTCATGGTGAGGGTCCAGGCAGGCATTTCTGTGTTTCAAATATTTAATACAATTGAACTGAGAGAAAGTCATGTATCAAGGGCAAAGCTGCTGCATTCAAAGAAGAACTACTAGGATTCAGCTTAGGCTTGCATTTTGGGAACCACTGTAGTAAGTGAGTAATCATAATCCAGAGAGAAGCCACACTTATGACAGATTCTTAGTGAATTAATTATTTATTACTGGTAACAAATTACCTGGAAACTTAGTGGCTTAAAACAACAATTGCATATTATCTTACAGGTCAGGAATTTTGGAGCAGCTTAGCTGGGTAGCTCTGGCTCAGTCTCTCATAGGTTGCAGTGAAGCCATTGGCTGGGGCTGCAGCCATCTGAAGCCTTGACTGGGGTTGGGGGTCTCTTTACAAGAAGGCTCATTACATGGCTGTTGACTGAAGGCTTCAGTTCCTCACCAATAGGCCTCTCCACTGAGCCACCTGAGTGTCTTTAAGATTTGGCAGCTGACTTCCCCCAGAACAGATGATGAGAGAGAGAGAAGAGGGGAGGGAAGTGGGGGAGAAGAAGGAAGACTTTAATGTTTTCATGACCTAATATAGGAAGTAACATACCATAATTTCTGCTGTTGTCAACTGGTCATACAGACCACTCCTGCTATAGTGTGAGGGACTATGCAAGAGTGTGATTGTCAGTAGAGAGAATGGTGCAGGGTTTTGATACATGGTCTTTAATTTGGTTGAATCGATCATTCACAGAGGACAGTGTTTTTTGTTTGTTTAATCCTGCCTACCTACCCCCTCACCTTTATTCTGTTTCTAGATAGAGGGAGGCTGGTGTGGTGACTCAAGCCTGTAATCCCAACATCCGAGCACTTTCGAAGGCCAAGATGGGAGGGTAGCTTAAGGACAGGAATTTGAGACCAGCCTGGGCAACATAGTGAGGCCCCATTTCTACACACATCAAAAAATTAGCTGAGTTTGGTGGCACATGCCTGTAGTCCCAGCTACTCAGGAGGCTGAAGCAGGAGGACAAGGATTGCTTGAGCCTGGGAGATAGAGGCTGCAGTTAGCCATGTCTGTACCACTGCACTCCAGCCTGGGTGACAGAGAGAGACCCTGTCTCTCTCTCTAAAAAAACAAAAAGAGAGATACATGGATTGGCATTCTTTTCTGGAGAGATAGCAATTATGTCCTCCTGACACAGGATTTCTTCTCTTCCCTTTGGATAAAGGATATTTTGCTAATTCAAAAGATTAGGAAAGACAGGGTTGGCAGTTCCACTTACTATATTTATTATTACAGTCTTACTTGACTATAGGCCTAACTAATTTTAAGGACACTGGGTTTATAGAAGAGAATGATGTGAAAGAGGACGTTAGGACAACCTCTGATTCCTAGAGGGGAGGGTATAGCTTTCTCTTCCATATTTGCGAAGCAGGATTTTCCAAAGACATGAGATTGAAAAAAATTGTGGATATGAGAAGACATAAATTTCATTAGGATGATGAAAAATATTTTTTTTCTCTCACCTCAAATCCATATCATCAGTGTTATAAAGTAAGCTAGGGTCTGTCTCCCTTTCAACCCAGTAGTCTTAAAAGGCTCAAGAAGATTAGGCTTGAATTTCTACTCTCAAACTCAAAATTTTGTAATCTCTCTTTTTTAAATGATTGAAGTGTAATTTACAGACATGTATTTTTACAAGCACAGATTATAAGTATTAACAATTGAATACACCCAAGTAATTCATACCTCAATCCAAACAAAGAACATTAATTTTTCACAGGCAACCAGTAGTCTGATTCCCATCATCAAAGTTTAGTTTTGCCTTTTCATTAACTTCATATGGTAATAATACACTATTTGCTCTGTTGTATCTAATTTTTTTCATTCAATATAATGTTGAGATCATGTATATTGCTGTGTATGTTCTTTTAATATTTTAAGTTGAATTTCATTTTATGAATATGCTTCAGTTTTTTCCACTCATTTTTCTGCTGATGGATACCTGGATGTTTCTAGGTTTGGGCTATTATTAATAAAATTGCTATGAACATTCTCTTTCAAGTCTATTGTGGACACATATTTCATTTCTTTTATACTTTTCATTCCATATACAATGTCTGGGTCAAAGAGTAGGTATGTGTTTAATTTTATAAAATGCTACAAATCAGTTTTCCAAAGTGGCTGCACTATTTTACATTCAAATAAGCAATGTATGAGAGTTTCAGTGACTCCACATAACCAATAATTGATATTTTCAGCCTTTTAAATTATATCCAGGTCAGTGAGTGTAAAGTAATAACTCATTTTGGTTTGCATTTTCCTGATGATTATGTTGAATTCTTTAGTCATCTATCTTCATTTATGAAATATTCATTCAAATCTTTGTTCTATTTTGTTGCATTATTTAATATTTTTATGAAGTTGAAGAAATTCTTCAAATAGTCTAGATACAACACTTTTGTTAGGTCTCTTCCTTTATGTAGGTATTTTTAAATTTTTATCTGAAGGGTTTTGCAGTTTTCAGTGTAGGTATCTTGCATATACTTTGTTAATTATATTCTTAAGAATTTTATACTATTTGATTCTATTGTAAGTGATATATTCATTTTCCAAATGTTAATTACTAATGTATGGAAATAAAATTTATTTTCATTATTAATTTTGTACACTGAGACCTTGCTAAAATCCCTGATTAATTATTCTAGAAGTTTGGTGGTTTTATAGATTCCATTCGATTATCTAAGTACTTAAGCACATTATGTGTGAATGACAATATTGTCTTCTTTCTTTCCAATCTTTATTACTTTTAATTAATTAATTAATTATTTTGCTTTATTCTTCTGGCCAGGTCCTCCTCACTACTGGAAGTACTAATAGAGGACATTCTTTTCTTGTTCTCGATTTTAGGGGTAAAGTGAGCAATACAACACTACTGTTTTTGATGTTAGCTTTTGATTCTTCCCTGGCACTATTTAGTAGACTCAGAAAATTTTCTTCTATTCTTACATTGCTAGAGGATATTGTTGCTGCTGTTGTTTTATTTTTAAAATCATGAGTGGATATTAACTTTTATTTTAAAATGTTTGTGCCATCTAAGATTACATAGTTTTTATTTTCTTGTTTTTAATTTTGTTTTTGCTTTATATTATGTATATAATTTCATAATTGTATTAATGTATTACAAAATTTATATTTTTAAGATTAAACTACACTTAATTATATGTATTTTTTACTAGATTTATCTTACTGTTTTAATTAGAATCTTTGCATCTGTGCAAACAATTCTGTAGGTTTTCTTTTCACTCTCTTGATAAGTGTATTTTGATGCACAAAAGTTTTTAATTTTTACAAAGCCCAATTTATGTAATTTTTCTTTTGTGGTCTGTGCTTTTGGTGTCATTTTAAAGAAGCCATTGCCTAATCCAAAGTCATGAAGATTTTTCCCTTGTTCTCTTTTAAGAGTTTTACAGTTTTATCACTTAAATTTAGGTCTTTGGCTCAATTTGATTGAATTTGCACATGGCTTAAAGTAAGAATCCAACTTCATTCTTCCTGCATGTGGGTGTCTAATTTTCCCAACACCATTTGTCAAAGACCACCGTTTCCCCATTGAATGGTCTTGGCACCCGTGGTAAATGAATTGAGAGTTCACTTCTGGCCTCTCAATGCTTCTCCATTTGTCTCTGTATTTTTCTTTATACCAGTGCTGCATGCACTCTTGATTACTGTAACTTTGTATTAAGTTTTGAAACTGGGAAGTGAGAGTCCTGCAAATTTGTTTCTTGTTTTTCAAGATTGTTTTGGTTACTTGAGGTCCTTTTATGTTCCACATGAATTTTAAGAGAGATTTTTCTATTTCTATCCAAAAAATAATGCCATTAAGATTTTGGTAAGGAATTACATTGAATCTCCCTATCACATTGGATAATATTGTCACCTTAGTAATATTAAGTTTTCCAATCCATGACTGTAGGAAGTCTTTTAAATAAAGAGGTATATCTATATTTACATAGGTTTGTTTTCAATATTTATATAATTTTATATGCTTTACTGGTATATAAATAAATTTGATTTATATTTAATATTTTCTTTTATAATAGAAAATAATATATATATTTATGAGGCATAATATCAAGTTTTGACAGATATATGTACCTCAAAACTATTTATATATATTTCATACACAGCATATATATTATGTACAACATAATGTATATTATATATTACATACATTTATAGACTATAAATATATATACTAATATGTAACTATATATAAATAATATATAACTACATATTCATAGATATATATAACTATATACAAATATATAAAAGTATAAAAATAAATCTATATATTATATATAGTGGAATTATTAAATTAAGCTATATAGTGAATGATTGAATTAAACTGATTAACATAATCATCACTTCACATGCTTATCAATTTTTTTTGGTGAACAGACTGAAATTTCCTCTTCGTAATTTGTAAAATATACATTATTATTAGCAATATATTTCAAAAACATATTGCTCTTGTGTAACTGAAACTTTGTACTCTTTGACCAACATCTTCTCATCTTCCCCATCATCGCCCCACTTCCCCAGCCTGTAACCACCATTCTGCTCTCCACTCCTATGAGTCTGACTTTTTAGATTCCATGTATAAGTGAGATCACAGTATTTGTCTTTCTGTGCCTGGCTATTTTACTTAGAATAAAAAGAATCAGATTGCACCTAGCTCAGTTAACCCCTTGACTCTAGGTATAGAAATAATAAAAACACAAAATCAAACAAATTATATGTGTGTGTCTATCATCTATCTATCTATCTATCTATCTAATGTCTATTTAAATACCATCTTTGACATTGCCATGGAGGATTATTATCCATATCATGATAATTTAGTAGATTGGCCCAGGGAATAGATAAACATTGGTGTTACCATACAATTTATAAATGTAGTTTTTAAAGAAAATGTCAAAGTATGTGGTTTAATTTGTAAAGTATATATTCTCATTTCGAATCTCTAAATGTAATATGTTTGTTTTCTCAACAGTATTACCCTGTTTCCAAATATTGCTTAAGGAGCCAATATGTCACAAAAGTTTTGCAGCAAGCAAATAAAATAAAATAAAATATGTATTTATTTTTACTCTAAAAACTATACATGCCTCTTTATTTATAGAGAGCTATAGCTATATCTGGATATCTATAAGACAAAGTTTTTTTACATTTAATCCACATATTTTGAACTTTTTAAAAAGATGTATTCCTAGGTAGTGTGTAATTTTGATGATAATGTGAATTGTATTTTCTTTTCAAATTGTATGTTCTCTTCATTTCTGTCTTATAAACATGTGTTGGTTCTTGGATATTATTCTTGTATTTAATAACCTTGGTAAACTTATTAATTCCAAAAATTTAGCTGTAGTATTTCTTGCAATTTCTAAATACACAATAATGCCAACTGCATATGACAGTTTTATTTGCTCTAGTCCAATATTTGTTGAAAGTCCCCACCTCTGATATATATCCTTTTGTCAGAGTTTGTCATTGAAATACTAAGATACCCTATATTCCTGTTATTCTAGAAGTTAAGAAACAAAATCAGAGCTAAAACTTGCCAACTGGTTGGACCCAGTAACCCAGACAGGGGACAGACTTTTCTTGTTAGATCCCATCTAAGCCACGTAGGCTTGAGACACAGATTCTGGAACCTGAGGGAAAGAAACATGTGTTTGCAGATATAAAATATGGATTTAAAAAAATCATCAGGGAAAGAAAATGTCTATGGCAAAGGGCATAAGATTAGAATCTACTACGCTCAGCGAAGTTGCACTCTCATCTAAGAAGTTCTTATCTAAATAACTGCCCTTTAGAAGCCCTCTGTTAATCAATAAACAGCTGTATAATTAGACATTACTTTCTTTTCTGACAACTACTCCCACTTAACTCTATTTCTGTTCACTTTTCTTCCCTTCCTTAGTTTTCAGACATTGTCTCAGGTGTATCCTTAGACCCTTTAACCCTGGTCTGCATGAAATTCCATACTTATATTTATGTTCTCCTTAATGCCTAGGTATTGGCAATCTTTGGCAGTCATTCCCTTATCCCCAGTGGGGAAAATACTGCTACAAATTTAAATGCATTTCACCACTTTAGTAGTTCACAAACTAGACAAAGGTACTGTCAACGATTGCCTGGATAACTCTTAACAGTAGTCTCCTTGCTTCTTTTCCTCCCACTACTGTCTTTTCTTAACACAGCAGAAAAATTGTTTTATGTCTTTATGCAGACATAGGTAAAAACGTGTCATTTGCCTACATAATGACCCATCTTATCTCTTTATTTCATTCAAGTTAAAATCAAAGTCCTGTCAGTAGCTCACTAGATGTTACAATTTTTTTTGAGGCGGGGTCTTGCTCTGTTGCCCAAGCTGGAGTACAGTGGAACAATCATAGCTCACTGCAGCCTCAACCTCCTGGGATCAAAGGGTCTTCCCCTGCCTCAGCCTTCTGAGTAACTGGACTACAGGTGCATGCCACCATGCCTGGCTAATTTTTTTATTATTTTGTAGAGACGGGGTCTTGCCATCTTTCCCCAGCTGGTCTTGAATTCCTAGGTTCAAGGGGTCTTCCCACCTTGGCCTCCCAAAGTGCTGGGATTACAGGCATGAGCCACCATGCCTGGCTGATCCATTATCTTTCTAACTTATTTTCCTACTGTTGTTTTCCTGGATCAGTTCATACCAGTGACACTGGCCACTTCATATTCCTTGAAAACACCAGACACATTCCTATCTTACGGTCTTTGCTGTAGTTGTCTTCTCTGCCTGGAAAACTCTTCACTCAGAAATCCACTTAGATATCTACCCTACTTCCCCCAAGTATTGCCTTCTCACAGAGGTATATCCAGGATAATCTATTTAAATCGAAATCCCACTGCAGCTGCCAGTAGTTCTCTTTCACTGACTTGCTTTTTCACTTTTCACAGCAGTTACCACCTTCTAAGATACTGAAATGGGAAAGGTCTTCTTGTCCCCCTCACAGGGCTTGCAACAGCGGGAGTGGCTCACTTCTTCAGTGCCCTGCTGCTCAAACCTCTAGGGAGAGCATACAGACGGACAGGATGTGGGGCTCTGGCCTCACGGCAGCATCTAGGGGTGTATGTTTACAGTTCCTGAAGCCCCAGTGGGCATGTGTTACTGTGTGCTCTTTTAGTTTTGCCATGTATAGGCAGCTAGTGTTAACTAGCTCAGTTAGACCCTCTGCCTTATTGCAAGGACAGAGGGCTTTCTGTATCCCAGGTTCTTACCTTGGTGTACCAGAAAAATCAGATCACATGTGGGCTTGAAGAATGAAAGCAAGGTTTTACTGAGTGGAAGTGGCTCTCAGCAGATGGGGGAGCCAGAAGGGAGATGGAGTGGGAAGGTGGTTTTCCCCTGGAATCAGGCTGCTCAGCAGCTGGGTTCCCCTCCAACTGCCCTGGCCAAACTCCATTTTGTTCCGCTGGTCAATGGCCTGCCAGCGTGCCAGCATCTGCTGGTTCCTGTTGGCGTGATCTTTAACCGATGTGTCCCTCTTGACATCCAGCCACTTGTGTGTTCTTCCACTGATGTGTTCCTTTCGACGTCCAGCCGCTTCTGTCCCTGCCTGCTAGGGTCTCAGGATTTTTACAGGCACAGGATGGGGGCATGGCAGGCCAGGGTGGTCTTGGGAAATGCAACATTTGGGCATGAAGGCAGGAGTGTCTGTCCTTACCTAGGTCTGTGGGCACAGGCCCAGGGGTGGAGCCTTAGCCAGGGACCATGCCCTTCCCTTACCAGCACTTCCCTGCCCCTCTTCTATATCACCTCCCCCGTCTGAAGAGGTACATCTAACTGCTGTTCGAATATGGATGATGACGGGTCTTAGCTGCTTCCTGCTGATAGGGGCATCGTTTTGGGGAAAACGGCAGTCAGATTCTTCCCAGAGGTGTATATAAGGGTTCCTAGCAAAGGGGAGCCATCATCCAAGGCTCCGGTTCCCTGACCATTTGGAGGTTGATGGCTTCCAGGTGTGAGAGAAAAAACAAGTTTTATAAGGTTAAGTATGCATGGATTATATATACTTGGGTATGTATACCCAAGTTATACACACTGTAACTATGTACATACATACTATACATACTATAATAAATACGTGTATTATACAAGGAAAAAAAATTAGTGCCAAAGATTACAGAGTTAAGAAGTGAAATATACTAACAACAACATTGTACCCTGAGATGTTTCACCCTGGTGAAAGAAATTAAACCTTGTATGGGAGTGGATAAACTTTTAGAATGAGATAACTGTTCTGGCCATATCTTTAGTAGTTAACAGGTGTACCCTGGGAATTCTGGGGTTTGTGGGCTTGCCTGGTGGCCATTAAAGCTTCTGTCTCTTTCCTGTATTTCCTCTCTCTTTCCTGGGCCTCCCTGTCTGTATTATAAAAGACCAAGGTGGCCACTTTCAGAAGGTCCTCTAATGTACTATCCGGTCCCAGGGCCCGTTTCTGCAACTTCCTCCTGATGTCAGGAGCTGCCTGAGTAATAAATTTATCCTTTAGGGTTAGCTGTCCCTCGACTGAATCAGGAGATAGACAGGTATGCTTTACCAAGGCCTCTCTTAGTCTCTCCAGGAAGGCAGCAGGATTTTCATCAAATACCTCGTCGATCATGGACAACTTAGTATAATTGAGAGGCTTGGTCTTAGTCCTACAAAAGCCTTCCATTATGCACATCTGAAAGCGTCTCCTCTTCCAGTCTTCCACCTGTCATTGGGATCCCACTTAGGGTCATTCACTTTTACTGCTTCTCTTCCAGTTGGATAATGTTTGCTCCCTTCCCTGATGCCATATGTGATACAAAGCTCATTCCCAAATCTCTTTACTGCTTGCAGAGCGGCCTGCTTCTCAGTGTCCATCAGGGTCTGATTCAAAAGTAGCATAACATCTCTCCAGGAGAGTTTAAATATATGGGTGAAAGTCTGGAAAACCTCTATATATCTATAAGGGTCATCTGAAAGCTTGCCAAGATCCCCCTTGGTTTGCTTTAAGTCCTGTAGGAAGAAGGTGACCTGGACCTTACTGGGCACAAATTCACTGGGCATTTGTTGGAGGGGCAAAAGTGAGACTAGTTGAATGTTGAAGGTGTACCTCAACACACACACACACACACACACACACACACACACACACACACAGAGTTCCTTGGCACAGACTAGCATAGTGTTTGCTTTGGTTCTAGGCATTGTCTCTGTTCAATCATTAGCTAATGACTAAGCTAACCGGGCAGAAACATCAAACGTTACATTCAGGAAAGAATGGAGACTTTATAAAATTAGATCAGAAAAATCTTTAAACAAACAAACAAACAAGTAGTAATACAACAAATGCAACAACAGCAAACTCTGTAGAGGGAGGAAATCTGGTTTCTAAATTGCAACATTATAATATTCAAAATGTCTAGATTTCAGCAAAAAATAATGAAGCATGTAAAGAAAAAAGAAATCATGACCCATGCACAGAAAATAATAAAAAGAAACTGTTTCTGAAGAAGCCCAGACATTGTAATTAGCAGAATAAGACATGTCTAAAAAATAAAGTATAAGAATGATGTCTCAGCAATTTGAGAATATCAGAAGGAGAAATTATAGAAATAAATAGCAATTCTGCAGGTTAAAAATACTGACTTGCAAGGTTTCCGTTGAGAAGTCTGGTAATGGACTTATGGGAGATCTCTTACACGTGATGTTTCTTTCAGAATTCTCTCTTTGTGTTTGACCTTTGACAATTTGATTATAATATATCTTGGAGTATGTCTTTTTTGAATTGAACTTGCTTGGGATGCTTTGATCGTCTTCAATCTGGATGTTCATATCCCTCTCAAGATTTGGAAAATTCTCAGATAATATTCCATTGATTAAGCTTACTGCCCCTTCCTCTTTTTCTTCTTTTGGTACTTCCATAATTCATATATTTGTATGTTTGATGGTGTTCCATAAGTATGCATAAAACACTTATGGAAAAATAATCTCAACAATTTTGAGATTATTTTTGGCAGGTGGAGCATCCTAAAACTAGAAGTCATCACCTTCCTCTTCAAGTGACTGACTTCTTAACTTAGAAATCACCACCACAGGATGCATAGAAGACTGAAACAAAATGTGGCTTTGTGAATACAGTGTGGGCTTTGGAGTCAGAAACTCTGCCATTTGTTGGCTGGGTAACTTCTAGTGTCTCTCTCCATCTCAAAGAATTTCATCGTACAGTTTATTAGGGATTAAACAAGTTTGTGCTTATAAGGTACCCACTATAGAACTTTGTAGTCAATAGACACTCAATAAAAGGTGTTATTACTCTTCCTTGTTCTCCACAGTGGCTTATGAGATCCCATTTACTGGCTCACTCTTCCTAGCACCATAGACCTCTGGACTGGATTTCTTCTTGCTATCTAACTCCAACAACTTGACTTCCTTTGTTCACCTTCATTTGTTTCAAGGCTCTTCTTTTTTTAACTTTTAGTTTTAAGGGTACATGTATGTAATTGTTTGTTATATGGGTAAATTGTGTGTTGTGGGGGTTTGGTGTACAGATTCTTTAGTCACCTGGGTAATAAGCATAAAACCCAAGAGATATGCTGTCTCCCTCCTCCTAGCCTCCACCCTTAAGTAGGCCCCAGTGTCTGTTGTTCCCCTCTTAGTGTCCATGTGTTCTTGTTGTTTAGCTCCCACTTATAAGTGAGAACATATGGTATTTGGTTTTCTGTTCCTGCTTTAGTTTGCTTAGAATAGTGGTCTCCACCTCCATCCATGTTGCTGCAAAGGACATCATCTCATTATTTTTTATGGTTGTGTAGTATTCCACGGTGTATATTTACCACATTTTCTTTATCCAGTCTGCCTCTTTTTAAATATAGTCATTTTTCTCATTTTTAATTATCAAACATTTATAAAATGCTTATTCTGTGGAAGGTTCTCTGCCTTAAGAGTTACAAACATTAGGCTGGGCACGGTGGCTCACGCCTGTAATCCCAGCACTCTGGGAGGCCAAGGCGGGTGGATCACCTGAGGTAGGGAGTTTGACACCAGCCTGACCGACATGGAGAAACCCCACCTCTACTAAAAATACAAAATTAGCTGGGTGTGGTGACACATGCCTGTAATCCCAGCTACTTGGGAGGCTGAGGCAGGAGAATTGCTTAAACCCAGGAAGTGGAGGTTGCAGTGAGCCGAAATGGTGCCACTGCTCTCCAGCCTGGGCAACAAGAGTGAAACTCTATCTTCAAAAAAAATTAAAAAAAAGAGTTACAAAGATTAATGATATACAATCTCTGGCCTTAAAAATCTCTGAAAAACTAGAAATAATTCTAAAGCCCAGAAAGAGTGAGTTCCCTTCCAGTATCCTATACAAGTTCAAGGTCCTCCAAAGCATTATTAAATCTTCCTAGCCTTTTGATCCTCTGCCTTTTCTCCTGCCTCACTAATGTTCTAAGTCTCTGTTATGACACAGATTCTAGAACCTTCACAGGCCACACTCCCATCATTTGCTTAGGTCTGATCAATCTGCTCCACGCAATTTCTCAGTGATCCTCTGCATCTCTGCCTACAAGGGCCTCCCTGACACCCAAGTTCATATTGCTCAGAAACAGTGAACTTGAGTTTTTCGTTTTATCTTGATCTCTCTCTGACAAAGAAATCCAGATGATGCGAGACCTGATGAAGACAATACATGGAAAATGACAGTCTTGGGTATGGACTAACTCCCTCTTTGAGGCTTCCTCAACTCTAGTAGTTCAGGAGTCTCCTCTTAGGGACTTAGGGACTTTAACACAACTGCTTTATCTTCCTTGCCTGCTTCCTTTTCAAATTCAATATTTTTTCTTTCACTCTTATTGATTCCTCTGGAAGCCTGGGGGAAACAACCCACAGTTAACTAAGCTCTAGGCTGATAGTGCTGGTTTCTCCTTTGGTTTCTAGAGTTTAAACTGAACAAAGAAAATAACCATCCTCCGTAGCACTAGGAAAAATTCCTTAGCCCATTATCTCACTTCCTGTAGCATGGTCACTCTATATAATCTGCCTCAACTCAGAAATAATGATTTCCTCTCATTTTCCCTATTAATAGGGTGGACCATCTTCTAACTGCCCTATAGACAGGGCATTTCAGACACTAAAGGAAGAAAAGGAATATACAGTAGTACTGAGTACACCATCTAGTTATCCTTTCCTCCCCAATGAGTTATTTAACACTAGAAAAAAAAATTCACATAATAGAGGGCATATTGACTACTTGCTGTTCATTTTAGAGGTACATTAGAAGAAAATCTCCAAAAGTTGATTTGGCAGGAGAATTTTCTCACAGGACCAAACACCTAGAAGACTCAGTAGACAAATGCCTAATCTGCCCTGGTTGGAGGTGTGTTATTATATCTTGAGATGGATTCACCTATTGTTCGTTTGAAGTAGTCTTAATGTGGGTGTAATCTACTTTCCTAGTCTTTCAGAGCTCAATATTCTTCAGAGTTTTTACTTTCACAGGCAGTTTTATGGTTGTTTTTTTCTTCTTTCCTTTCTCTCTCTCTCTCTGTTTTCTTTTTTTTTCTCCCCCGATCCTTCATAGCCACTGCCCTTTATAACCATATGATATTGTCTAAGATTTTTCTCTCCTATGACTGCAAGACTCTATCTTACATCAATTGAATGCAGATCAATGACACATAAACAAACACAAGTTAAGCAATCCCAGCATATTTTATCCTACTAACCACAATAACAAACCTCGCAAATATCCATCTTATCATCAGGAGGTTGGCAAGTGATGACTGAAAGGTTTTTGTGTGACAAGAAATTTCTGTCCTTTGCTGTGGCTTTCATTAATAAAACCACCTTCAGTCAGCACCCTTCAGTCAAGGTGCTGAAAGTTTTTTGATCACTCACTCATAAAAATGTTTTGAGTATGCATTGCCTATAAAAGTATATTTATAAATCTTATTTATAGCCATATATATATATATATATATATATATATATATACACACACACACAGAAAATCTTGCAACTTTAAAGGTATGAGTTAAAATTACACAGAAAATAGAAGTTCTAATATTTTCCCCATACCCCAGTGGATAGCTTCGTAGACCACTGATTCCCTTTAACATTCTTCCTGCCTGGGGAGTAAAGGGTTCAACTGAGGAGGAAATCTGTCAGATTTCCAACTCTAAACCAAGGGTACACAGCATCTGAGGTTCTTAGTATACGACCAAAGAACCAATGTAAGAGCTAAAAATGGGCAGGGGCGGGAATGTGAGGACAGTAATATGCGGCAAATAAAAGAATAAAGGAGTTGAAGTAGCAGAAAGGGGAAAGAAAAAAAAGTCTATCTGGTGGATAGTAAGAGGTGATCAGAAGTTGTTTCTGGTAATTTCCTGGTCTAAATAAGCATGTTTACAGGTGAGTTTTTGTTTTCAGAAATAACTTTGGCTGTCATCCTGACTCTACTGGGACTTGCCATCCTGGCTATTTTGTTAACAAGATGGGCACGACGTAAGCAAAGTGGTGAGTAATAATGAGTCAAAATGAAGATTTCCTGTGAAAACCATGGAGGGAGGGATGCCAAGATTCAGTCTGAGTTCATCTCACTCATCAAACAGCTAGAGACTTTGCCAATATTCTGGGAATCTGTTTCAATACTTGAGTCAAAGAATCTCTGACCTATTAGTGATTGTCCCTGCACTTTTAACTCCCAAGGTTTACATTATCAATAATGTCAAAGAAAAAGTCACAGGCCGGGAGCGGTGGCTCACGCCTGTAATCCCAGCACTTTGGGAGGCCGAGGCGGGCGGATCACAAGGTCAGGAGTTCCAGACCAGCCTGACCAAAATGGTGAAACCCTGTCTCTTCTAAAAATACAAAAATTAGCTGGGCATGGTGGCAGGTAACTGTAAGCCTAGCCGCTCGGGAGACTGAGGCAGGAGAATTGTTTGAACCCAGGAGATGGAGGTTGCAGTGAGCCGAGATCACGCCATTGCACTCCAGCCTGGGTGACAGTGCAAGACTCCATCTCAAAAAAAAAAAAAAAAATCACAGAGTTTAGCAAAAGTAATAAGAATATTTTAAAAGAAAATTACCTGAGCTCCAAGGGAAATTACCTGAGTTTAAAAAAAAAAAAATAGAAGTGAGAAGACAGTATGTTGCTAAACACCAGTATCTAGTATTATATAAAAAGAATTGGAGACTTTTAGTGACTTAATTTGGGGAGATGATAAGAAGAGACAAATACAGAGTAGTACTTGTCGATGAAATAGAGATGGAGCTCATAAAAGCTAAGACCTATTTCTATGCCATAAGGTCTCTCTTTCCTGGATTTTTCTGTTTCTCTCCCACAACTTTCTAATCAGCTGTATTCCCTCCCTGTTTCCCATCCTCAATGCCTGTGAGCCCTCAAAGCATAAGTAGTGTGAAAAGATAGGTAAAACAGGGCTGATGGGAGATGTGGAAAATGGGTGAGAACAACAATGCATTATATCAGGAGGACCACCTTGGTAAGCAAGAAGCATAGCTTAGAGTGAGAAGAGTTTGATCAGAGGAAGAACACTTCTCCTAAGTAACTAATAAAAACATTTTGCCTAATTCTTCCACAGAAATGCATATCTCCAGATACAGTTCAGAACAAAGTAAGTACTTATACTCATGAGAAAAATAAATATAGTATTATAGAATTTTCACAAGTCAGGAATGAAATCTGTCTTGTTTACAGTTGTGTTTCCAGAACCTTGCATAGTGCACCATTGCATGAACTGAACTGCTTCTAAGTGAGTGGGAGAAATCTACCAGAGATTTCTGAGCAGTACTGAATGCCAAACTGGAGTTGGGGAGAATTAATTAATACTGGGTAGGCCTGCATAATTCTGAGGCTCCCTTCAGATGCTTCCTGTGGTCTGAGAGCAGCAACAGAGAACTGTTCCAGTTCAGGCACTGGAACAGATGGTTCAGTAAAAAGCCTAAATCCATTCATGAAGACGGCCTTAGTGAAGTGGCCGGACCGAAAAATATAATGTATCCTAGAATAACGAGAGTGAACACAGTTAGGGTAATTATGATTGAGAAGAGTACCAACTTCAGGATGTGAAGAATTGAAGAAGACTTTCCATGGAAAGATCTGGAGAGATGCCAAAGTTGTTAAGAAAGATAGCACAGGATTGGTATGAGGCAAAAACCAGGAGACTAGCTGCTGAAGTATCAAGAGGTAAAAGAAACTCTGAAACTCCTTCTGACTATCATTTAGCCTGGCTAATATTATAAAATTGGTGATTGACACAGTCACTTATCATCGTCAGCTCTTGTAGCTTATGCACAATTCCTAGTTCCTGCAAAGTAAATTAATTCACATCATTATTCACCATTAGGAGTTCATGTTTACATTAGTTCTCAGAGTCTTAAATAAAGCCTCATTAATAATCAAGAAGCAAAATCATGTGCTCTCCCTTTTTTTCTAGGTGCTAGACTTCTGGACTATGAGGATGGTAGAGGTAAATAGATTAGGAACTACTAGACAGTTAATGAAGGAATATACTCTTTAGAGTGTGAATCAACTCATCTCCATTTGAGCATGATTTGTTGAGTCAGCATATCTTTCGTTTTTATAATATTCAAATGCTTATCACTCCTCTCTCTCTTTCTCAAGAAAAATTGTGCATTTTTCTCAGAAAAGGTAAATAATTCTCCTTCTTAAGACCATCAAAAGAATTCATTTCCATCTTCTGTCTACTTCCAAGATATTAGAAAGGTTAAGGAACCGCTCCGAAACAATTTCCTGGATGTTTAAAATGTGGATAAAATGAATATGAAATGGAATAGTATATGTGAAAATACACTTTGAAAGCCATACAGTAGAAGAGGTAAACAAAGCTTATCCCCATTTAAGAAGATGAAATTTATGCTCAAAAGATTGAGACTTACTCAAGTTCACCTAGCTGAGGAGGGAGCTGGATATCAAATTCAGGTTTTGAAACGTGAGAGTTATGAGAAGACGGCAATGCGCTGTCTACTTTTTTGAAGGGACACACCAGTACCACTAATTTCAATGTACCATGGCTATCCCTAACCCTCACGCCCCAACACTCAATGTTCTCTTTCAGTATCCACTCACCAGGGCTGCCTATAGATGTTCCCTCGGCTGTCTCTCTCTCTCTTTCTCTCTCTCTCTCTCTCTCTCTTTCCTTCCCTCTTTCTCTCTTTCTGACTAGTCCTATCTCCAGAACTCAACAAGAACCACTAGAGCTACCTCTCATTCTTGCTGGAAGCCACTAAAGTTGTCCACACCAGGCCCACCAGCTACACCAGAACTATAAGGTTATGAGATTGTGGATGTGGAAATAATTACACACACACACACACACACACACACGCTACAAGCATATAGATCCCTGAGAGTTGAGGAAAGAAAAGAGAAAGTAACTCAGTCACTTCGCTTGCTGTCCATGCCCCACACTTGGACTCTTGGTCCATCCTTCTCCTTCTTACCTCTATGATTCATCTATCATGAACAACAAGAGTGAAGAGCACAGTGCCATGGCATTCCCTCTTTATTTTCTGAAATGGAACCTAAAGAAAATGGGAATATCTGGGAAACTAGCAAATCTTTTAGTAGTTGGATTGAGACTAATGATAAACTTTTTTTTTTTTTTTTTTTTTTTTTTTTTGAGACGGAGTCTCGCACTGTCGCCCAGGCTGGAGTGCAGTGGCGCAATCTTGGCTCACTGCAAGCTCCGCCTCCCGGGTTCACGCCATTCTCCTCTCTCAGCCTTCTGAGCAGTGACCACAGGCACCTGCCACCACGCCCGGCCAATTTTTTTGTGTGTTTTTAGTAGAGACGGGGTTTCACCGTGTTAGCCAGGATGGTCTCGATCTCCTGACCTCGTGATCCACCCGCCTCGGCCTCCCAAAGTGCTGGGAACATAGGCGTGAGCCACCACGCCCGGCCAGATAAACTTATTTTTTAATGAACTGTTGGTAAACTTAATATGTTTTTTTCTTTCCTAAAAGATTTTTCTTCTCAGAGATCTAAAAGAGGAAGAGGTAAACAGATTTCTATCTAACAAAAAATAATATAGACTCACTTGTTGAAGTAAAATCTCATTATGTTTTTATCTTCTCTTTTAGGATCCCGACATGCATATTCAACACAAAGTGGTAAATTATTGTATTGCTAAGAAATTAATATAGGAGTCTGTTTATGAGAAATTAAGAATCTTATAATTTTTCTTCAATTCTCTAGACACTTCATGTGATAACCGAGGTAAGTATATGTAGAGATTTTTGTAAAATTAAAGGAAAATCAGGCTTCTTCCTGCCACAACATAAAAGGCTATAAAAACTGACCAAAATTTAAAAAAGAAGAAGAAGAAATCAAAGTAGTTACAGAATATTCTGAGAAATGTTCACAAATGTTCACCATCACGCTATGAGGCACCATTTTCCCCAAAGCTATGCAATTCCTCTCCTATCCAACTCCTAATTATTTAACAAAAGTAATATGAGAGAAAGGCATCAGCAAAATAGTAGAATAGGAGCTTTCTTCCCACACAGAAGCATCAATTTAGACAACTATCCACAGATGAGACAATACCATTGTGGGAGTCCAGGAGTCCAGCAGAGAAGTTCCAGCACGCTGTCAGGTTATAAAATCCTAGAACAGATGTATTAAAGAGGGTAAGAAGAACAGTTTCACTTTACCCACATCACTCCTCCCCCAAGGTGGCACAACTCAATGCTGAGACAGACCCACTTGGCCCACAATTTCTCCCACAGAAAAAATGTGCAGAACTTAATGAGGGCCCACATCCCCCAGCCATTCAGGATGCTGTCCGATAAGCCCACTTATTTCTCACTCCACCCAGAACACTGAGATGATCAGCATAGTTGAATGGTTAGGAGAGGCTGGGAGCAGGGAAAAGAGACTGCAGAACCCACTCATCAGAAAGCCTCATCAGAAAGCCTGCCATTTGAGATGCGTGACCTATGCTCCTTGCACTACTGACCCACAGGCACGCCTTTCACACATTTCACTCTCCCATCTAGGCTGAGTCCCCAAATGAGCCACCATGGACAACAAAAGGAAACATCTCACAGTCAGTTTGACTTTGTAGGATCGGAAAAAAGGACACAAACTTGAGAATTCCAGAGCACCACCCTAGGGAAAACAAAGGGAAGGCTCTCAGAACCTGGACTGGCTTTGCAGGATTGAGACAAAGCACAATCTTAGAAATCCCATCTACCCTGGGTGTGGTAGTTCATGCCTGAAATCCCAGCACTTTGGGAGGCCGAGGCAGGAGGACTTCTTGAGACTAGGAGTTCGAGACTGGCCTGGGCAACATAGTGAGACTCCGTCTCTAAAAAAAAAAAAAAATCAGTTGGATGTGGTGGTGCACACCTGCAGTCCCAGCTACTCAGGAGTCTGAGGTGGGAGGATTGCTTGAGCCCAAGAGTTTGATGCTGCAGTGAGCCACGATCATGCCACTGCTCCACTCTGGGTAGCAGAGTGAGATTTTCTCTCAAAAAAAGGGAAAAAATCCCACCTGTGAAGTAGGCACAAACAAATATTGAACAGGGTGACTGTTTCTTCAAATGTGAAAACACAAGACAAGACTTCAAGGTCATAAAAATCAAGGAAACATGACACCACTAAAAGAACACAATAATATTTCAGTAACTAACCCCCAAAAATGAAGGTTTGCCTAAAAATCAATCCACCAGTTGCCTGACAAAAAAATCCAAAACAATTGTTATAAGAAAGCTCAGTGAGCTACAAGACAACACAAACAATATAATGACATCAGGAAAACAACACAAGAACAAAAGTAGAAGTTCAACAAAGAGAAAAAAAAACAAAACAGAGCCATACAAATTTTGGAGCTGAAGGGTGCAATGCCTAAACTAAAACAAAAAGGAAATAGAGAGCTTCCAAGATGATGGATCAAGTACAAGAAAGAATAAGAGAAGTCAAAGACCAATATTTAAAATTATCTAGTCAGAGTACAAAAAAAAAAAAAAACCACAAAGAAAAGAAATGAAGAAATATGTACAAGATTTATGGGACACCATCAAGGGAGCTAACTTTTTGCATTATTGGAGTCTCAGAGGAAAAGAGAAATAAAATAGAATAAATGCTTATTTAAGGCATAATTGCTAAAAACTTTCCAAATCTGTGAAGAGATATAGACATCTCGATATATGAAACTCAAAACTCTCCAATTGTATTTAACCCAAAGAAGACTTCTCCAAGACATTATGTCAAATTGTCAATAATCAAAGTTAAACAGAGAATCTTGAAAGAAGCATATCACATTTAAAGGTACATCAAAAGGATATTAGCACTTCTATGCAGACATTTTCTAGGCCAGTATATAATGGGATGATATACTCAATTTGCTGAAAGAAAAAAACTGCCAACCAATAACTCTTTACCCGTAAAGCTGTTTTTCAGATCTGAGAAAGAGATAGTCTTTATCAGACAAACAAAAGCTGAGGGAGTTTATCACCAATAGATCTGCCTTACAAGAAATGCTAGAGAATGTTCTTCAAGCTGAAATGAAAGGCCAATAATTAGTAAAATGAAAACATATCCAAGTATAAAATTCACTGGTAAGGTAAATATACAGTCAATTCAGAATATTCTAATACTGTAATGATGGTATATAAATAACTTTTAATGCTAATATAAAAGTTAAAAGACAAAATATTAAAAGTATATAATTTGTTAATGAATATACAATTTTTTAAATGTAAATTTTGACACTGAGAATGTAAAAAGTAGTGAGAATAATATGTAGAGTTTTTGTATGTAATCTATTTTAATAATCTAAGTTATTATTAGCTTCAAATAGACTGTTGAAACCATGTTTTATGTAAGCTTATGGTAACCACAAACCAAAAACCTATACTAGATACACAAAACAGAAAGATATTAAAGCATACCACTACAGAAAATCAGCAAATCACAAAGAAAGACAGGAAGAAAGGAAGAAAGGATATACAAAACAGCCAAAAAACAACCAAGAAAATAACTATATTAAGTCCTTAACTATCAATAATTACTTGAACGTAAATGGATTAAATTTTCTAATGAAAAGACACAGAGTAGCTAAATGTATTTAAAAACAAGTTGCAACTATCTGTGCTGCCTGTAGCAGACACACTCCAGCTCTAAGGATACATATAGAATGAAAGTAAAGGGATGAAAAAAAGATGCTCCATGCAAATGGAAAACAAAAGACGGTAGGGGTGGCTATACTTACATCAGGCAAAATAGACTTTTAGTCAAAAATTATAACAAGAGACAAAGGAGCTCATTATATAATTATAAAGGGCTAATTCATCAAGAGGATATAAAAATTATAAGTACATATGCACATAATGTCAGAGCACCTAAATATATAATATTTACATAACTGAAGGGAGAAACAGCAATATAATAATCGTAGCGGACTTCAGTAACCCATTATTGACAATGAATAGAGCATCCACACAGAAAATTAACAAGGGAGAAAATAAAGTTACCAAGAATACCCAATAGGGAAAGGATAAATGTTATTAGGAAAACCGGATATCCATATGCAAAAACAAAAAGAAATTGGCCCTTATCATATACCATACACAAAGATCAATTCAAAATGGATTGAAGACTTTAATGTAAGACTTGCCACTATAAAACTCCTATAATAAAACAGTGAAAAGTTCCATGACATTGGTCTTTGCAAGTTGTTTTATATGACACCAAAAACACAGTAACAAAAGCAAAAATAAGTGGTATCTCGTCAAACAAAATTGTTTCTGGACAACAAAGGAAACAATCAACAAAATGAAAGCCAACTCACAGAATAGGAGAAAATATTTGCAAACCATATATCTGATAAGTGGTTAATATTTGTCTTAATCTGTTTCTGTTGCTTATAACAGAATATCTGAAACTGGGTAATTTATAAAGAAAAGAAATGTATTATTATTTCTTACAGTTATGGAGGATGGAAAGTCCAAGGCTGAGGGGGCGCATGTGGCGCAAGAGAGCCTTCCTGCTAGTGGCGACTCTCTGCGGATTCCTGAAGTGGTACAGGGCATAACATGGCAAGGTGGCTAACATGCTGTGCTTAGGTCGTTCCTCTTCTTTTTTTTTTTTTTTTTTTTTTTGAGACGGAGTCTGGCTCTGTTGCCCAGGCTGGAGTGCAGTGGCGCGATCTCGGCTCACTGCAGGCTCTGCCTCCCGGGTTCACGCCATTCTCCTGCCTCAGCCTCCCGAGTTGCTGGGACTACAGGCGCCTGCCACTACGCCCGGCTAATTTTTGTATTTTTAGTAGAGACAGGGTTTCACCGTGTTAGCCAGGATGGTCTTGATCTCCTGACCTCGTGATCCGCCCACCTCGGCCTCCCAAAGTGCTGGGATTACAGGCTTGAGCCACCGCGCCCGGCCCGTTCCTCTTCTTATGAAGCCACCAGTTCCACTTGCCTGACAACTCATTAATCCATTAGTGGATTAATCCATTTATGTGGGTAGAACCCTCATGATATAATCACCTCTTTAAGGCCTCACTTCTCAATGCTGTCACATTGAAGATTAAGTTTCAACATGAGTTTCGGAGAGGACATTAAAACCACAGCAATATCCAAAATATATAAGGAACTCATACAACTCAAAAGCAAGATACAACTCAAAATACAGCTGAAACAAATAAGCTGATTTTAAAATGGACTAAGGTTCATATCTGTTCATGAACCTTAGTCCATGAACAGACAATTCTTAAAAGAAGACATTTACGCAGCCAACAGACATATGAAAAAATGCTCATCATCACTGGCCATCAGAGAAATGCAAATCAAAACCACAGTGAGATACCATCTCACACCAGTTAGAATGGCAATCATTAAAAAGTCAGGAAACAGGTGCTGGAGAGGATATGGAGAAATAGGAATGTTTTTACAATGTTGGTGGGAGTGTAAACTAGTTCAACCATTGTGGAAGACAGTGTGGTGATTCCTCAAGGATCTAGAACTAGAAATACCATTTGACCCAGCCATCTCATTATTGGGTATATACCCAAAGGATTATAAATCATGCTACTATAAAGACACATGCACACGTGTGTTTATTGTGGCACTATTCACAATAGCAAAGACTTGGAACCAACCCAAAAGTCCATCAATGATACACCAGATTAAGAATATGTGGCACATATACACCATGGAATACTATGCAGCAATAAAAAATGATGAGTTCATGTCCTTTGTAGGGACGTGGATGAAGCTGGAAACCATCATTCTCAGCAAACTATTGCAAGGACAGAAAACCAAACACTGCATGTTTTCACTCATAGGTGGGAACTGAACAATGAGAACACTTGGACACAGGGTGGGGAACATCACACACTGGGGCCTGTTGCGGGGTGGGGGAAGCAGGGAGGGATAGCATTAGGAGAAATACCTAATGTAAATGACGAGTTAATGGGTGCAGCACACCAACATGGCACATGTATATATATGTAACAAACCTGCACATTGTGCACATGTACCCTAGAACTTAAAGTATAATAAAAAAAAAAGAGAGAGAGAAAAAAACAAAATAAAATAAAATAAAATGGACTAAGGACCTAAATAGACATTTTTTCAGAGAAGACTTACAGCCAACTAATAAATAAAGGTGCACAATATCACTAATCATCAAGGAAATGCACCTCACACCAGATAGGATGCATTCAAAATGTCAAGGGATAACAAGTGTTGGCAAGGATATGGAGAAAAGGGAACCCTTGTACACTGTTGTTAGGAATGTAAAGTAATACAGCCATTATGGAAAACAATATTGTGGTTCCTCCAATAAATTAAAAATAGAACTACCATATGATTCAGGAATGCTACTTCTGGGCATATATTCAAAGGAAATAAAAATCATTATCCTGAAGAGATGTTTGCACTCCCATATTCATTGCAGCATTATTTACAATACCCGGGATAGAGGAATAAACTAGGTGTCCATCAGTGGATGAATGGATAAAGAAAATGTGATACACAGACACACACACATACACACACACACACACAATGAAATATTATACAGCCTTAGGAAAAGAAAGAAATCTTGCCATTTGTGACAACATGGATGAACCTGGAAGACCTTAGGCTAAGTATAATTAGCCACGCATAGAAAGACAAATACTACATGATCTCATGTATATATGGAACCTTAAAAAGTTGAACTCAGCAGAAAGGTGATTACCAGAAGTTAGGGGGTGGAAGAAATGGGCAGAAGTTGGCCAAAGGGTACAAACTTGCAGTTTTATGACAAATACGTTATGTAGACCCAATGTACAGCATGGTGACTATAATGTATTATACACTTGAAATTTACTAAGAGTGTAGGTTTTACATATTCTCATCACAAAATGAAAAATAGAAGTAAGTATTTGAAGTGGTAGATATATTAATTAGCTTGATTGTGGCAATCATTTCACAATGTATACATATATTAGAATCACACACTGTAATACCTTAAATATATATAATTTTTATAATTATACCTCAATAAAGCTAAAGAAAAGAAAAAAATAATCTGAGTAGTCAAGAGAAATTCAACATCCCAGATCTCACAAATGCTAACTACTCATTGAATTAATTCAAGATGGATTAAAGACTTAAATGTTAGACCTGAAACCATAAAAACCCTAGAAGAAAACCTAGGCAATACCATTCAGGACATAGGCATGGGCAAGGACTTCATGTCTAAAACACCAAAAGCAATGGCAACAAAAGCCAAAATGGACAAATGGGATCTAATTAAACTAAAGAGCTTCTGCACAGCAAAAGAAACTACCATCAGAGTGAACAGGCAAACTACAGAATGGGAGAAAATTTTTGCAATCTACTCATCTGACAAAGGGCTAATATCCAGAATCTACAAAGAACTCAAACAAATTCACAAGAAAAAAACAAACAACCCCATCAACAAGTGGGTGAAGGATATGAACAGAGACTTCTAAAAAGAAGACATTTATGCAGCCAAAAGACACATGAAAAAATGCTCATCATCACTGGCCATCAGAGAAATGCAAATCAAAACCACAATGAGATACCATCTCACACCAGTTAGAATGGCGATCATTAAAAAGTCAGGAAACAACAGGTGCTAGAGAGGATGTGGAGAAACAGGAACACTTTTACACTGTTGGTGGGGCTGTAAACTAGTTCAACCATTGTGGAAGTCAGTGTGGCTATTCCTCAGGGATCTAGAACTAGAAATACTATTTGACCCAGCCATCCCATTACTGGGTATATACCCAAAGGAGAATTGAACAATGAGAACACATGGACACAGGAAGGGGAACATCACACTCTGGGGACTGCTGTGGGGTGGGGGGAGGGGGGAGGGATAGCATTGGGAGATATACCTAATGCTAGATGACGAGTTAGTGGGTGCAGCGCACCAGCATGGCACATGTATACATATGTAACTAACCTGCACATTGTGCACATGTACCCTAAAACTTAAAGTATAATAATAATAATAATAAAACAAATCATGCTGCTATAAAGACACATGCACACATATGTTTATTGCGGCACTATTCACAACAGCCAAGACTTGGAACCAACCCAAAAGTCCATCAATGATACACCGGATTAAGAAAATGTGGCACATATACACCATGGAATACTATGCAGCAATAGAAAAGGATGAGTTCGTGTCCTTTGTAGGAACATGGATGGATGAAGCTGGAAACCATCATTCTCGGCAAACTATCGCAAGGACAAAAAATCAAACACCTCATGTTCTCACTCACAGGTGGGAATTGAACAATGAGAACACTTGGACACAGGAAGGGGAACATCACACACCGGGGCCTGTTGTGGGGTGAGGGGAGTGGGGAGGGATAGCATTAGGAGATATACCTAATGTAAATGACGAGTTAATGGGTGCAGCATACCAACATGGCACATGTATACATATGTAACAAACCTGCATGTTGTGCACATATACCCTAGAACTTAAAGTATAATAATAATAAAAAGAAATCAAGGAATAAATTCTTAAAAGTTCATCACATTAAGATATGACTTGTGCAATAAAATTCCAAGGGTGCAAAGAAATACTGCTGTTGTCTACTGTTGTCATTTACATCTCATATTTCTTGGGAAAAAACCTCTCCAGTAACAGTCTACCAGAATACCAGATTTAACCAGTGCAAGAAGCTACCTCAGTGTTAGGAATTTAAGGGTACACGGATAAGCAAAATAAAACTACACACTATAAGAAGGGAGGAGAATTAACATGTACTCAGCACCTACTATATGTTAGTCATTCTGGTGAGCATTTTTTCATTTTATTAATATTGAATATCTACAAACAACCCTGTCAACCACACAAAGATGAGCTACCCAAAAATCCCTCCCTGGCTGTCCAAGGCCTCCAGTAGCCTACAGGTTGCTTTGGTGCATATTAGGAAAAGGTGTTCCTTCCTGCAAGTGAATGCAGCCCCACCCCAGAGACACTGTTGTGGATTTCAGTTCCCTTAACCCTTTGTGCAGTGAGCCAACCTATATAATCATAGCACACGTGTCCTGAAGATATATGAAAGGCATCTCACTCTTAGCATGTCTAAAACCCAAGCCCTAATCCCTTCTACACACTGGTGCTAGCACCTGTATTCACCTAATTGCTCAGACTATCTACCTTGGAATGATATTTAACTCCTTTCCTACTCTCTTCATCCAATCCACCATCAAATCCCATCTCTGATGCTTTCAAATTATACTCCAAATCAAACCACCTTCCACCACCATGACAATCCTTGCCCAAACACCAATATCTCTTGCCTCCTACCTTGTTTCCTTGATACTCCTCTTGCCTTCTTATAGTCTATTCACCTCACCACAGCGAGGGAGATCCTTAATAAGTACCTCTTAAATGAAGAAAGTAATTTACTATTGTTATCCCTAATTTACAGAAGAGAAACTTATGCTTAAAAAACATTAATGACTTGCCCAAGGCCACAGGACTTGGAAGTGACAACCTGGATAGGAATTTAGAATTGTCTAATTCCAAATTTTAGGCAGTCAGAGAGTTTATTCTTATGTAATTTAGTAATATCTTAATTTTTAATTTCCTGTTTACAGATCTTTAGTGTACAAGCCTACAATCTTAGTATCTTTCTAATCTGGGCTCCCTTGCATTCTTAAGGAAAAACTTGAATCAGTAAACATTTTATTGTTGTTTCAATAAGTCATACTTTAAAATTCATAAACCCAAATGACTATTTCTCTGACTTTCCAGTCCCCCTAACATAACCTATAAATCTCAGTCATCCTAAGTTTCTAGGTTCCCACGCCCTGCTAGTCTTCCCTCCATTATTTCTAGACATAGGAATATAAATGTACTGGTCAACTTGAGACTATAGAAATCTTCTGGCAGGAAGATATTAATATTAGGTAAGGTCATTATGTTAGTTTAGGTACATGAAATTTAGTACTCAAAGTTTAGTTTAACTTAAATATATCACATATAAAAGCTGCCATGGTTATTCCAAAATTTTTTTGAAATTAAATTTATTCTTAGTATTTTTCTAGCAAATGTTAAGTGCAGCGCATGAAAGTTTTTATAACAAATTTCAAGTGCAGCATATTAAAATGTTCGGCATTTCAGTGGTATTTTCCATTTTTGTGGCAACTCTATTAACATCTTGATGTATTTTCCCTTTTTTTTTTCATTGAGACAGAGTCTTGCTCTGTGGGCCAGGCTGGAGTGCAGTGGCACTATCTCGGCTTACTGCAATCTCCGTCTCCCGGGCACAGGCAATTCTCCTGCCTCAGCCTCCTGAGTAGCTGGGATTACAGGCGTGTACCACCAGGCCCAGAGAATTTTTGTATTTTCACTAGAGACAGGGTTTCACCATGTTGGCCAGGCTGGTCTCGAACTCCTGACCTCAGGTAACACACCCACTTCGGCCTCCCAAAGTGCTGGGACTACAGGCTTGAGACACCGTTTTTAAAATCCCCATAGAACCATGAGAAACAAGAAACATTATTATAAAACAGAGAATGTGTTTTGTACTTAATTCCCATCACAATGACTGCCAAGTATGGAAGGAGAGCACTCATTTTCAGAAAAGAAGCTGAAAAAAAAATACTATTGTCTTCACATTTCTGAGTAGATCTTTAACTATACTTTAGTGAAATAGCAAATGATATTATGATTCAACATAATTTAAATCAACTACAAAGTATCAATATTACTATTTACTTTTACACTTTTATGAAAACAACAGTGATAACATGACTAGTTTTCCATGTAATTTGCTTTGTCTCCAGATCTTTTAGAAAGTCTGTTTCCATGACATCACTAAGAAACAAGTTTTAGATCATAGGATGCACATTCAATCGCAATCAATATACACATTTGCATTCATTATAATTTGCCATATTGTCACTGAACTTGAATTCTCAGTCAGCTGAGTAAATATTTTGCCATTCCTTCTTTTATTTGACCTCAACTTACCTTATAACTATACATTCTTCTGTTTCAATGTTTGCATGTATAGTTTATTATTTCTTCTCACTACATGTATTTACCTTAATTAAACTCTGCCTGTTTTTTTAATGTCATTAAACTTATAAATTAAGCCATGAGGAGATTTTGTCTCCAGTTTCTTGCCTAACTGGATATTTGAGGGTGTTGACTGGGTAATCCTCTGTAGTGATACCAAAACTACAGAAATAGAATATCCAAATTGATTTTTCTTTCTTTTGTTTATGTTTTCAGAGAGATCCAAAAGAGATTACAGTAAGTATTATCTTGCTTCTTAACAAAAATTTGCTTCCTATTAGTAACATTTCCCTAGATTGTAAATGCTTTGGAGGAAAGAGAAATCCTGTCATATGTCAAGTCATATGAATACTAAGCAATAGATAAAGTTTTCTAGTGCTGGTTTAGAATGATCTGGCTGGGAGAAAAGGAAAACAATAGAAGTGATGAGCAAGAGAAAAGGAAAGTAATAAAGATAAAAGGGAGAGAGAGAAGAAAATAGAGAGGGAAAAAAGGGAGGGAGGAATTAGGGCAGTAGGAATGGCATCTGCCTACTAAAAATTAAACCCATTTTTAGAGATGGAAAGCATATGCAGTAGCTGGTGGGAGTGGCTGTCAGTACCCATCACCAGATCAGTGATGACTCCCGGGGCCTAGACTTTAACTCCTGAGAAGGGGGTGACAGCAACTGAAGCTGATATGTAAAGATTAGGGATCCAAACTCTCATGATTCACCTCATGTTTTCTGTGTGTGTATTTTAGCACCATCAACCAACTCTCTAGGTAAGTGCTTTGTGGTTTTCTTTCAATTCTACTGTCATCTGGTTTGCAAGCCCTATTTTTTCTGTATTTTTTCTCTTTTAAGAAAGTTTTTAAAATTAAGTATAAAAATAATTAACACTTGTATATCACACCTTAGATGTGACAAATTGATAATATTCTTGTCATATTTCTCAAGTTATCATAGACATATTCCACTCCCTTCTTCCCAAAGGCTTATTAATATATTTTAAATATTTAAGTCTATTTACATATATTTATAGTCTCTACCTATCACTGAACAAAATATAGTATCTTTTTTTAATGTTTAATTTTACTAAAATGGCATCTGTCTGATAGTATCATTACGATTTGCATTTTTCTCTCAAAATGTAGTTTTGAAATCCAGGTTATACACTTTGTTGAATAATATTCCACCTTATGAATATACAATATTTTTCTATTATTTCTACTACCGATGCATTCTCAATGTTTCCAATTTCTGCTATCACAAATAATGCTGCAAAGACAATCCTTAAGTAGATGGAAAAGAGTTTATCCGGGGTACATACCCTGAAGTAGGATTAGTGTTCACATTGTATATGAGCATTTATGTAATTTATGCATATTTTAAATTTTAGTAGCTATTAATTAAGCTCCTTGGTAGTTACATAGAGGCATACAAAAATAAATAAATATTTCCAATTTCTCTGCATTAGTAACAATCCCAGATTTTGTCATATTTTTCTATTATTGCCACTTGAATACGTATACAATTTTTAAAATCTGCATTCCCTGCTCACTCCTGAAATTGAGTATCTTCTCATAGGCTTACTAGCTAGTGAGGCTTCACCCTATATAAATTGCTTGTTCATTTACTTTACCCATTTATCTATTAGTTATTGATCTGTAGTAATTCTTTATTATTATGAAAGATCAACTTTTATATGTTATGTTAAATATCTGCAATTATCTCATCCAATTCTGTCTCTTAGCTTTAAATTTTTATGCTGTCTCTTGACTTTTAGAAGGCCTCTACTCACTCTCCCCCAGCACCACACAATTTATTGTAATAAAATTTGTCAATCTCTTGTTTTCTTTTAGAGTTTCTGCTTTTTAGTTTCTTTGGCCTTATCTGGGTATCACAAAGATTTTATCTAATACTTTCTCTTAATAGTTTTGAAATTTCCCTTTCTACATATAGAACTTTAATCCAAATGGGGCTTTGTTAATTGTTTTTTGGTTTTGGTGAGTGATTTTAGTAATAATACAGGTGAGATCTAATTTTCCTTTCATCTGGAAAACCAACTAGAGGGATTTCGTCTCATCTTGTTCCAACTAGATTTATTGACTGGTGCATTCTTTCTCTGCTGATTTGTAATGCCATCTTCATCTTATATATTTCGTTTTTCCGTGGATTTTATTTTCTGTTCCAGTGATCTTTTGTCTTTTACTGAACCAATACTCCATTGCTTTCACTACTAAAACTTTATAACATTACAAAAAATAGCACATTATCTTTGTTCTTTTTCAGAAATGTGTTGGCTATTCTTTGACCTTTTCTCTTACACAAGAATTTCATAATTTCTCAAAATCTATGAGTCATATTAGGATTTCATTGAAATTTCATTGAGCCTGTAGATTAATTTGTAAAATCAATTATTCCCATGCATTAACATGGTTGCCTACTATTCAAATTTTCTCATATACCCTTCAATAATGTAATATAATTTTCTTCAGAAAGGTCTTGCATGTCTTTTGCTGCATTAATTCTTATACACATACTTGTTTTTTGTTTCGGATGTTAATACTATCTCTCTACATGGATTTTACAAATAATTATTGTTGGAATATAAGTTATATGTTGTATATTTGAGAGTAGATTTTGTATCTAGCCACCCTGCTGTGCTCTTAGAGTTCTAATAATTTTCAGATTCTTTTGAATTCTATATGTAAAAAATCATGTCATCTGCAAAATCTGATAATCTTGAGTTTCCTTTTCCAATTCTTAAAACCATTTTCTTGTCATAGCTTGGGCTATGTATATCTATGGGTAAAATTCCTTCTCTTTACTTTTGCTTTATTTTTGTTCCTTTTTCTAGCTTGCTGTATGAAACTCTTAATCAATTTCCAGACTTTCTCATCTTCTTTTTTTATTTTATTTTTATATGGGACACCATGAATTTTCATGCCATCCTTACACACGGGCCACGCTAATCTTCTCTGTATCATTCCAATTTTAGTATATATGCTGCCAAAGTGGGCGCTCTTATTTTCTAATATAAGTATCTAAGTAACTTCTAAATGCTGCTGAAACTCATATCCTCATATCCACTCATATCCTCATGACTATTTTTTTACTTCAATTCTACACTCTGATATTAGCATTGTTCTAACACCTTTGTTTTAATTAGTATTTGCCTATTTTTCATCCTTTTATTTTGAACCTTAAAAGTTTGTTTTTGTCTTGTGTCTTTTTTAAATGGCATATTGCTTGACTTTGTTCATATTAACAATGTAAAATTTTCTGTTTCCTAATAGATGAATTTAGTTCATTTTATATTGTGAATTGTTATATGTTTATCTAAATGTTTCCAATTTATATTGTGTTTTCAACTTACAGTACTATGCTCTGTTCTTTCATTTTTAAATCTTCTTTTCTACCTTCTGCTGGTATATTAGAATTCCTTGTTTCTTTTGTTTTACTTAGTGTTTTTCTGGATTTTGTTTTATGTATCCTGATATTTGTAACATGTGTACTATTTAATTTTTCTTTAAAAATTAAAGATAATCGGTATCTTCTTCCAAGACTAGATAATAACTTTTATTTGACCATCTTCCCTCCAAACTACTCTTTCCAAATTCTCCATCTTGTTTGTGGTATTCTTTTTAAAGACAAAATAATTATTTATTTTCACAATTAATTATTACTTAGACTTACAACAATATTTCAGCATTGTTTTTGCTTAACATTATTTGCTACATCCTGTGTCTTTTCTCTTCTATTTCTTGCCCAAATACAATCCTTTACTGGTTCTTTAAACTCTACATGTATGTGAAAAATTTTCTAAGCCTTCATATGGCTGAAAATAGCTTTACTTCACCTTCAGCCTTAAATGAAAATTTAGCTAGGTATAGAATTGAACATTATTTTCCCTCTGTACTTTGAAGATTTATTCCATTTGCTTGTTGTTTATTATTTATTATTGTTGATAAGAATCTATCACTAGTTTGATGTTTGTTCCTAAGTAAATATATTTTCAAGATTCTCTTTATTTTTGTGTTCTGCATTTAATTATAATGTTTATAGGTGTGAGATTAACTTTTTATGAGTGTGAGGTTATCCTGAGCAGGATAAATGAAGTGAATCTCACACCCACAATGGAAAATCCTGAATGCTTCCATTTACTCTGAGCAGGATAAATGAAGTTAATCTCACACTCATAAACATTCAAGAGTTTCCATTCTGTGGACTCAATCTTTCTAATTACAGAAAAATTTAACTTTAATTGCTATGAATTTTGCCCATATTTATATCTATATCTAACAACAAACTGTAGTCTCTACTTCTAAAATTACTATGTATGTAAAGATTTTCCTTCCATCTTTCAGATCTTGTGACTTCTCTTTTATATTTCTTATCTGCACTGATTAAGTTAGCCCCGGATCTTAAAATCTCAGTGGTTTTCCCTAATAGAATTTTATTTCTTACTTATGAGAAGTCCAAAACAGGAATTCCAGATTGGCGGATGGCCCTTCTCTCAGCAGTGTCTTAGGCACTCAAATTCATCTTAACTAATGACTCCACCATCTTCAAATAATGGCTCCTAAGTTCATCATGTTAGTCCACCTTAAGTGAACAGAAAGAAAAAAGCTTGAAGATCATGAGTGGATGACTTTACAAACAAGCCTGGATGACTTTCATATCACTTCTAACAACATTAGATTGGCTAGAACTCAAGCATATAGCCACACCTAACTACAAGGGAATTTTGGGGAAATAGTCAACCACGTTGTATTAGTTTTCTATAGCTGCTCTAACAAATTACCACAAACTTAATGGCTTAAAACAACACAAATTTATTATCTATCAGTTCCATAGGTTATAAATCTGTCATATATGTCTCCCTGGACAACAATCAGGTTGTCAGCAAGACTGCATTCTTTCTGGAGGTTCTAGGAACAAATCTGCTTCCTTGCTTTTTCAGCTTCTAGAGGCTGGCCACATTCCTTGGTTCATGGCTCCCTTCTTCTATCTTCAAAGTGAACAAAAATGAATCAAGTCCTCACATCACACCATTCTGCCCTTCTTCCACTGTAGTACCTCTTTCTCTTACTCTCTTTTATCTCCCTCTCCCACTCTTAAAAATCTTTGTGATTATATTAGGCCCACTCAGATATACCAAAATCATCATCCTATTTTAAGGTCAGCTGATTAGCAACTTTAACTTCATCTGCAATATTAATTCCCTTTTTCCATGTAACCTAACATATTAAACAGGAAGATAATCCCAGGTTCTTACAATGCATGAGGCCTATGGCCTTGATTTCTGCTGGTGATCAGGTGTTTAAGCCTCAGTCCCCCAATAAGGTATCACATGGGTGGTAAAACTTCTCATTCATTACCAAGAATATGGGTTCCTTCTTGATATATTTTTCTTGAATATATTACTTCTCTTTTTAGTTTTCAAGCTCAGCTCTACTTTATAAACTTTAAAAAATACCATGTTCAAAGTAATCACTTAAAGGAGAGGATGAAATATTCCCCTCAATAGCAAGCACCCTTTCAGTAAGCCCCGAGGTTCTAAATACTTTCACTACTTTGACTCTTTAGCTTCTAATATTATTCAAGAACTTCCTGATTTGGTCTCTTGCTATTCTTCACCTCCATAGGGCACAAGTGAATTTTGGAAAGTGGAAACCCCTGTTGAAGCAGTTAGGTGGTAATTGTTTGGTGTAACAAAAAATCTTTTCGAACAAAGGGAAAACAGAAAATTAAGGAGAGAGAGGAAGAGGTGGAGGAAAGGTAGAGAAGGAAAGAACAGAGCAGCAGAATCACCAATGAAAGAAGACTTATAGGGACAGAAAAATGTCCTCAGATTGAGAAACTAGCAATCTCCAAAAATATTTTTATTCTCTTACCAAAATTGAAAGACAGGTTGCATAGATCTTGTAGTCCCACCTTACCACAAAAGTATTGGAATCCATATGTAGATATCCAGCTGCTCACCACATTGCATTGCAATTGATACCAGGAAATAAGTTGTGACTCATTTCTATCCTCTTTTCCACAACCTTTCTGCAATATAGTGTCTATGGCATCTAAGTTCTCCCTGGGACAAACAGAACTCATTCTTCTTTTGATGTGTTTTATTTTAGCACTGTCTCGATCAAGTATTGGTAAGTTCCTTTACTTTTCTTCAATTCTGCTGACATTTAGCCCCAGTTAATCAAGAGGATATCTTCCTAAACTTCCCAGACTTCTTCGCTGCAGCACAGCAGAAGCTTAAGCTTCACATTTCTCCAATTTCTTTGTTCTCCATAACCAGACACTTCAATAATCAGTCAAAAGTAAATGCAAGTTTCTAGTGGTTTATTATGATGACATGAAGAGAGCAATTTCCAAACCTGAAGTGTTGGGAAAACAGAGTAAATAAAGGATAAGAGCAAAAAGTTAGTAAGAAAAATAAGATGAGGATGAGGATAATATAGAATGAGGGATAAATGATATTAGCTGTGTCCTCAGAATTTTAAAGCTTTACATGGCTAGCACGAAAGGGCAGCCTTCCTTGAGGCATCCCCAAGTCAGGCTGGCAGCAATGGAAGAGATGGCTAATTCCCTATCCCCCTGAGCTGCAACTGACACTAAGGGTTTGGTGCTCCCAGGCGTTCCTGGTTCTGATACTCATTCCTGCCCTGTCCCCTGCAAAAAAAAAAAAAAAAAGAAAGAAATGGATAGTTTTTGAGCCAGACAACCACATGAATTTTTTGTTTATATTTACTTTTAGGAGAGCAAGGAGGGAAATTTCATATTTCCAAATTCTAAGTCTCTTTAGTGTGTCACAGAACTAAGGAACATTCCCTAACCCTGCTGAGATTTTGTCCCTCACCTCCTTTTCCTTCCCCATCATTGAGCATTTTGTCTAAAATTAATGAGAACTTCGAAGAATGAGAAGTCCACCGATTAAAGAATAAAGAGAGGATTAAAATGGTTTTAGCTGGCAATCATAGTTTCAGCAAAACAGTAATAAATTCATTAACTTAGGAATAGGAGGGAAGAAGAGAGAGGCTTGTGAAGAGATCAGGGAATGGGAGTAGGGGACAAGGAGAGGTTTGTAATTAAAGCAAGTCATCTTTCTTGACTATTTACAGATATTACACATGAGGAAAAAATGAAATTTAAAGATATTATTTAACTTGACCCAAGGCATATAGCTAGCAAAAGAGTAAAACTGAGGTTCTAAACACTGGCCTTTGGACTCCAAGTCCTGAGGTTGTCCAACTACCCCCAGGACATCATTAAATGTATTTACTCTTCCAATCCAAAGTATTCTTTGGAAATAAAATGTTTGTTCCAAGGAATTTAGAAAATCATGCATATGTTAAAAATATATTACTTCAATTTTTAAAATGTAATTTGAAAATCTTAAAATGTAAATTAATATAAAATATCAGAATTAGTGTGCTAATCCAATACTGTGCCATAACCTTATCCCATGAATAAGGCTGTTTTGTTGTATATACAACTGTGAACAGGTGCCCTTAGAAAGCTATCAAGCTCAATATTTTATTACTTTTATAATTAAAACATGTTTTATCTAGTTTTACTTTGTTTGCATCTAACTTATGGAAAGGGTAAAATATTTGGGAGTTGAAACATGCTAAACAATAAACTCAAATCTTCAGTTTCTTCAGCAAAATCTGCAGAGGACCCATGTGAGACAGGCTTGCCATAAAAACCCTCCAAAGGGGAAATCATTTAGAGCACTGCAGCTGCTATACCTAAGACAACATAAGTATTTCACAGACAGCATAGATTCTAGTGAGGTAAGACAGAAAATAAACACATAAGCAAACAAATACAATGATTTCCCTTTCTAGATAATTCCTACTATGATTACTAGACTATCATAGTAAATTCTACGGAGAAAACAAATTAAGATAATATGATAGAGCAAGACCAAGAAGTGAGGGCCTTTAGCTAGGAGATTAGAAGAAATTTCCCTGAGGAGATATCTGAACTGACTCTGAATGGCGAAAAGCTGGCAGCCACAGGAGGATCTTAGGGAAGAGTATCTCAGGCAGAAAGAACACCAAGTTCCTCAGAGGGGAAGAAGAGTAGCATGTATGAGAGATTGCGGGAAGGCCAGTTGTGAAAGATCGTGGAGGAGTTTGAAAGGTAGGGAGAGGCCAGATCACAAAAAGTCTTTTAGAATAAAATATGGAGAACAATTCTGAGCACCACAATAAGCCATTGTTTTCATCAGGGAAGGGATAAAGCCACATTTATGCTTTAAAAAGGCAACCCTGGCTTCTGGTAGAGAATGAAATGGGAGAGAATGACCATCATATTTATTTATGATGGCAAGAAGGAGAGAGGTACAGAGTAAAGTCTCATATGTGCTTCAAAGACAACAGGAGTTTCTACTGGAGAAGACTGTTCGGAAACAGCAATGGGGAGCAAAAATGACATTTACCTATATTCAGGCATGTATATGGGTATGGATTTTTTCTAAAACAAACGTACAAAAAACCAGACATCACAGCCTCAACAACAGAGTGAGACCCTGTCTCTACAATGAATAAAAAATTAGCCGGCATGGTGGTGTGCACCTGTGGTCCCAGCTACTTGGAAGGCTGAGGTGGGAGGATCACTTGAGCCCAAGAGGTCAAGGCTACAGTGAATTGTGATTACGCCACTGCACTCCAGCCTGGGTGACAGAGTGAGACCCTGTCTCAAAAAAAAAAAAAATCTAAGAGGGCTGTAAGAGACATGGTTTTTTAAAAATGTTATAATTTTTAATTGACAAAATTGTATATATTTATGGTATACAACATAATGTGTTGATATATGTATACATTGTAGAATGACTAAATCAAGCTGTTAACATATCCATTTCCTCACATACTTTTTGTGGTAAGAACACTTAAAATCTACTCTCTTAGCAAATGTCAAGTATAACACATTATTAACTACGATCACCATGTTATACAATAGATCTCCTGAAAGTATTCCTCTCATCTAACTGCAATTTTGTATGCTTTGAGCAACATCTGAGATAAGTATTTTTTTAAAAAATTGAGATAGAATCTCACTCCGTTACCCAGGCTGGAGTGCAGGGTGCAACCTCGGCTCGCTGCAACTCCACCTCCCGGGTTCAAGCGATTCTTGTGCCTCAGCCACCCAAGCAGCTGGGATTACAGGCGTGCGCCACAATACCCAGCTAATTTTTGTATTTTTAGTAGAGACAGGGTTTTGCCATCTTGCCCAGGCTGGTCTTGAACTCCTGGCCTCAAGTGATTTGCCCTCCCCGGCTTCCCAAATTGCTGGGGTTACAGGCATGAGACACCGCACCCAGGCTTGAGATACAGTATTTTAAAAGACAGGAATATTAAAGCAAGACGGTGAAGAAAACGTTTGGAGAAGTTAAAGATACAGGAAAATTTGCTGATATGAATTTCAGACAGCATGGTGTGTTTTAGGGAGTAAGGAGAGGTGGAAGGAACGTCCGATTAGGAATTATAAAAAGCATTATGATAATAAGCATCCTTAAGATGAGGAATTGTCTTTGGATGGTGAGTAAATTAAATGAGGATATGACACATTTTGGGATTAATCTCAAAGGATGATGAGTAATTAGTTATGTAGAGTATTTAGCTGAAAGATGCATAGGGCCACAGGAAGCTATTCATCCCTGAAGCTCAAGATGACGTGTGGTCCTACAGAATGGATGAGGCCCTCTTGAGAGATAATTCTCATAGGCAATTCACTGGACTGTGATAACTCGAGAAAGGGCCTCTCAAACCAGGACCTCAAAGGACTTGATCCTATTATTTCCTTGAAAATCTTGAACTAGCGTAGTGCCCAAGATAGAGGAGACTATGGTCCATTACCCATACATGTATAAAAAGATAAGGACTGCAATCTGAAATGATGATATAATAATATGTGTTGAGCATTATGCTCCAGGCTCTGTCCTAAACATTTTTTCTTCATAATAATCCTAGAAAGTAGATATTATAAATCCTATTTTTAAAATGAATAAACTTAGGCATAAAAAAAAAAACAGGCAGAGTAACACAGCTAGTAAGTAGAGGAACCAGAATTCAAACCCAAGCATTCTAGTAGTTGATGGCCCATTGTACTTAATGAGACCTAATCAAGGGTCCCCTTTCTAAAATGATTTCGGTGAGAATTATATACTTTATAAACCAATTAACTCAGACGGATGTGAATTTTTATTATTATTCCTCAGTGCCAATTCCAGGAACCGTATTTCAGTTTATTTTCTATTTCTCAATTTAGGAAAGAGAAATGAGAGCAAACAGATAATAAGAAGGGAGCACATAGGGAAACTACAGAAAGTTTAATCAAGACTAAGGTCCTCCACCTGAAAAAGAAAAAAAAAAAAAAAGACTAAGGGCCAAGCATGGTGGCTTACACCTGTAATCCCAGCACTTTGGGAGGCCAAAGTAGGAGGATCCTGGAGGCCAGGAACTCAAGACCAGCCTGGACAACATAGTGAGGCTCTGTCTCTACAGAACAATTAAAAGAATCAGTAGGGCATGGTGGCATGCCTGTAGTCCTAGCTACATGGGAGGCTGAGTTGGGATGATCACTTGAGCCCAGTAGTGAGAGGTTATAGTGAGCTATGCAACCACTGAACTTCAACCTGGGCAACAGAGTGAAACCCTGTCCCCCCCACCCCAGCCCCCCAAAAAAAACCTAAGGTCTTCCAAGTTCCCTTAACAGTTTCAGTCTTTACAAAGGCTGAGAAGAAAAGGAAAAGGGAATCACCTTCTCTGCTCATCATCAGTCCTACATGTCATTCTGGGCCTCGGCCACACCACCAAAATATAAGATGCCTAAACAATCCATGAAAAAATCACACTACAGCTGGCATAGAGGATTTGATGCTCCCTGGTGAGGGTAGTGTGAGGGATTTTTTTTCTGATCTTCTTTTCAAAGGGGGATTAACGCTGATGCTTTTAAGCAATTGACGTGCACTTAGAGATGTGGGTATCTAGCACAATTTACAAGGGAATTGAGCAAGTTCTTGGTTGTTTCAGTACCATAAACGCTTGTTTGTCTAGGGACCTTGTCCTCCTTATTTACCTCTTTCTAGGCAGGCCCTATTTCTAGAAAGTCAGCCTTTTTGCTTCTCCTACCAAAACTTACCCTAAGGCTAAAAGGCCCAAGAACACAGGGCTTTAGTTTGTGAATTTAGCCTCATTGAATCATAAAAGTTGAGCAGAAGAAAAATTATTAAACCCTGTCATTGATCGACTGTTGTGGGGTGGGGGTTGGGGGGAGGGGGGAGGGATAGCATTAGGAAATATACCTAATGCTAAATGACGAGTTAATGGATGCAGCACACCAGCATGGCACATGTATACATATGTAACTAACCTGCACATTGTGCACATGTACCCTAAAACTTAAAGTACAATAATAATAAAATAAAATAAATTAATTAATTAAATTAAATAAATGCAGTTCCAAAAGATGGTGAGAATTATCAAACTTTGCATAGTCATTTAACAGTCAATGTAAGACAAATAAGACTAATGCCCAGACTTTCTCCACTGAATATAGTGAGGGTTCATTCTATGGTAGCTTGTACAAATTACTATCAAAGTTAATATCATTAAACCTTCTACAAGTCTTGCCCTAGAATTTAGGTTATTTTACAAGAGAAACATTTTAGAGCTGAACAAAAAGAACAGAAACAAAATGTTGGAGAGGGAAGATGGTCAGTACGTTAAAGAAAAAAATGTTTAAGGAATATTCAGAAAGAAGAGAAAATTGTAAAGAATATGAAGGAAAACGTGCTGAACTTAAAGTCAAGCAAACTGGAAGCTAAAACTGCCTTTAATTTTTTGCATACTCAGGCACAGCCCTTCCCTTTCTCAATCTCGGTTTTCTTTTCTTATAAAACTAGAACCTTTGTAACATTGCCTTTCTTTGGTTCTTGAGGCTATCACATTAGGGAAAGAAGACTCTCCAAACTGAAAAGATGAAAGAAAGAGGGAGGGAGAAACGGAAAAGACAGGAGAAAGGTGGTGAATGAAATCAGAATATTGGAAATATAGTAAAGCTGAATATTCCCCTGAAACTTTCACTCCTGCATAGTGTCTAAGGGGGAAAAGACATGGGATCACTTGCAAGTGTGGCCACTTTATGAGCCTACCTACAGGCGAATGGAAAGTCTAATAACCTGAGGGAGGACACTATTTCTGGGAAGACTTTTGGGAAATTGATGGATTATTGAAACTTTAGACTGACTTGAATAATTGTTATTGTTCTTTAGCTTTACCTCAAGGATCCATGAGTAAGTTTATCTTCTTGTTTCAAACTCTCGTGTTGTTGGGCTCCTATACTAGGCAGAGGACTTCTCCCTGTCTTAACTATTTCCTGTTTCCTGCTATGTCAGGGTGAAAGGGCTTAAGACTCATAATTCTCCACCTTGTCCTTCATTAGCCATCTTAACTGGATCATGCCCACCTTTCTCACATTTCCCCCTCTCTAAGACAATGAGACCTTCCACCTTGCTTAAGCAAATTATTTTATTCTTGCCTTTGACCACATCCTCTCACCCCCTTATTTCTTCAGAAGTCATTTCTTCTCTCTTCTACATCTTTAAATATTTTCCTTCCTTTAATTGCTTCTCCTTAAGGTATAGAACAGGTTTGATTTTCTTCCATCTTAAACAGATCCTCCCTTGACTATGTCCCTCTCTAATCACAGCCTACCTTCAAGGGAGGAAATTATGCTGTACACTCTGACTGTAGGCTTAGGAAAAAGTTATTGCTCACTTCGTATCTGAACTATACACTATTTCTCCATGAATTGAGAATAATATAATAAGACCTACTAAAAAATCACTTTTAAAATAAATTTGCTTGTTAATTATTTTCAATTTACAGAGGACTATTGCCTAGCAGTTAAGCATGCAGACTCTAGAGCCAGGCTAACTGGAGTTGTATCCCAGCTCCCTACTTACTATTTATTTGAACATAGGCAAGTTATTTAATCTCTCATTAAAATTTCAAGTCCGTTACATAACTAATTTCAACAACCAGTTGAAAATTAATCAAATAAAAGAACAGAGAAGAGGCTGGGCACCATGGCTCACGCCCGTAATCATGACACTTTAGGAGGCTGAGGCAGGTGGATCACCTGAGGTCAGGAGTTCGAGACCAGCCTGCTGAAACCCCGTCTCTACCAAAAATACAAAATTAGTTGGGCGTGGTGGTATGCTCCTGTAATTCCAGCTACTCGGGAGGCTGAGGCAGGAGAATTGCTTGAACCTGGGAGAGGAGGTTGCAGTGAGCCAGGATCGCAACACTGCCATCCAACCTGGGTGACAGAGTGAGACTCCATCTCAAAAAAAAAAAAAGAACAGAGAAGTGAGGGAAGCTGGAAAAAATGAATGGAGAAGGGAGGAAAACCAAAGAGGTAAAGTTTAAATAAACCTTCTGAAACTGATTTCAATTGATTGTCAAAAAGAAAAAAAAAAGAACACATTTTCTAAATGAAGGGAAGACTGTGACAGGAATGAGGAGGAGGGAAGTGAGGAAATCGGCAAAAAATCCAAAACAGATAATCCTGACTGGACAGGGTTTTTTTTCTGATCTATGTGCTTTTCCTACAAAAGTTTTCATACTGACTATTACATTTGTGGTTGCATATTAGGGTCACATTTCCTACTAGCAAAGTTGTTTCTTGTTCAAAGATGGAATTAAATATATCATATTTCATTATTTTTTCTAAAAGGTATCAAAACTTCCAGATGCTTCACAATCTGAACAAGTTTATTACTCACAGGTTTTAATTAAATGTGATCCAACCAATACCTATCCTTAAAGTAACGAAAAGGAAGGGATTCACTTGCCCTATCCCAACTCAGGCCGCAACCATATGATACTGATTTCAAAGTGCACTGTTGTTGAAGTATAGATGGTGCTCACTTAAATCTCTTCTCATCTGAAAACGGAGCTCCCAAATTAGCCACCACTAGCCCAGTGCCACCTATAGATGTGTTTTGTTTCGTCAGGATGGTATTATTTTAAATTTTGAATTTGAATGCCTCTGGGTAGGGCATGGACTTTTCACCATCTCTATCCCTTATAACTAGCAGATTCACAATCATGAGACCTGCTGGGCCCCTTAATGCAACTGAGTTTGTGATCGATCCCCACAGAGATAATCAGGAATTCTGTCTGGTATGGAAAATGTGGTACTCTCTAAAAGAACTAACTCTGATGCTCCCATTAGGAAGAATATCCACAGAGACAATGTCCTTAATCCAAAACACACAATATTCAGTATTTTGGCAGGATAAGTACATCGTAAGTTTTTTTTATCTTCTTCTTTACTCTGTAAGGCAACAAGTAAATACCTTCCACTGCCCTGCTTATTTGTCTTCAGCTGGGAAACGCCACAAAATACTCAGTTCAAGAATTTCCTTTCTTGGCCCAGTATGGAGGCTCACACCTGTAATCCCAGCACTTTGGGAGGCCGAGGTGAGGGGATCACTCAAGGCCAGGAGTTTGAGACCAGCCTGGCCAACATGGTGAAACCCCATCTCTACTAAAAATACAAAAATTAGCCGGGCGTGGTGGCACATGCCTGTAATCCCAGCTACTCAGGAGGCCGAGGCACAAGAATGACTTCAACCCAGGAGGTGAAGGTTGCAGTGAGCTGAGACTGTGCCACTGCACTCCAGTCTGGGTGACAGAGAGAGATTGTCTCAAAAAAAAAAAAGAAAGAAAAATTCCTTTCTCCTCATTATTCCATATTACTTTAGGTCAGGAATGGAATATATATGACCTGTGTTACATTTCTGCTCATGCCTTTGCCTGTGGCAGAAATCAGTAATTGATCATGATTCTCTTTCCTGCTCAGCTCACATGTATCCTAAAATTCTTGTCATCTCCAGATAGTCATTAATAATTGATCAAAATTAAATATGCATAACTCAAGTATACTTGTCACTCCTACCATAGGTTAATATCTTAAATCTTAAAAAATTAAGTATATGAAAACTGTCCTTTTAAAATTATCTTTATTTGGTGGTAGGAGTGGCTTCACCTTCTCAAGAAACTGACAGTTCAGTGATTGACGGCCTAAAATACCACATAGAAAAACAGACATCTCTTCCCAAATGCTGAGGGTAGATCCTGTCATTTCTGGGGAAAGCTACTATTTCCCTCCCCAAAACAGCAAAGTAACAAATAAGGGAAAAATAATTATACACAAAGAAGGAAACAAATTATTCAATTACTTTAAGAAAAAAAATTGCAAAATTTTCAACATCTTAAAATATGATTGGTTATTTCTCAAGACAGAAGCAACAGAGATTAAAATGACATAATTAAGGTACTAAGGTACACAAGAAGATAGGGTTGTTTTAAAGATTAAAATAACAGAAATTAATAAATCAAAAATAAAAACAGAATTAAGTGCACATTATAATGCTCTGCTGTCAGGACTCAGAACTTTCCAAAGGACAGTCAGAAATAAGAGGAAAAATTAAAGCAGAAAAAAGTAAAATATAAAGTAGCTTACTACTTTGCCGAAGTGTTTCATTCATTTATAGTTACTGAATATTTCTTTCCATAACATTTCTAATACAACTTTTCATCTTTCCCTTCTGTTATTACTCCTGATTTTTCACTGCAACTTCACAATATAGGTAAGACAGAGGACACAACTTCTGTTTTAGAGATGAGGAAATTAATGTTCAAAACATTTAGTGACTTGCCCAAAATCACAGAGCTAGAGAATAGCAAAAGTCGGACTCAGCTCTTTAACCTCAAGACTGTTTGTACCACACCTGAGGAGGGGGAGGAGGGAATGGGATTGTCTATCTCCATGCCTTCTGAAAGTCTAAATCTAAGTAATGTTACACTTTTCAATTTTTATTATAGGTAGTATAAAATGTTTACAAACAACTGAAGAACTTCCTTGTAAGTTTCCCATATATACAACTCAGTCCTTTTTTTACTGACACCTAATAATTGTACAAATTTATGGGATACATGTGATATTTTGATACATGCATACCATGTGTAATGATTTTGATCTTCTATAATGTGCCTGCTACCAGAGGAATGGGGAAGGTGGTGAGAAAGCACATAAAGATGGAGGAAAGGAGAAAAACTTGCAATTTTACTGTTCTCTCTTTTACCAGTGTGAGGAATTTGAGGCTGATTTCAAGATCCTCTAAGTGACTGATTAATTTTTTCATTTAACAAAGTGGAAATTCTTATAATAAAAACTAGATTAATTAATGAAATTGTGAAAAAGATTCTGGGGCCAGGGAAAATTATCTATAACCTTTAGAAGGATTTGACAGCAGGAAGATAATGAAAATTAAGAATAAGAAAAATAACTGCAGGGAGTATGATTTTAACAGTCTCCTAAGGAAAAAAGGAAAATGCCTACTTACCTTCTTGCTGCCTTTCCATGTAAATCAAATATGTAGTAAATGCTTGATCTGAAACTCCCTGAGATAAACACCCTTGAGTCATGCTCTCTTCAAACTCACCTTTTTTGTTTGTATTTTAGCCAGAACTGCAGGAGCCATGAGTAAGTTCTTTTTCTGCCCTTTAATTCTCATGTGCTTTGCTTTACTAAACTGTTAGAATATGTAAGACACTCATATTCCTAGATTTTTTTATTTCTTTCACAAATTGTCCATTCCTTTCCCCTTGTTTATTCCCTATTCTTATCTTAATAAACTGGGGTGCCTCTGTAAGAAAGTACTATTGCCTTTAACTTTTCCGAAATCTTGAGATTCAACAGCAAAGGGAAAAGAGTGAAGAACAAAAAATGGTCAAGTGAAAGGAAGAAAGATTCCCCTGTGAGAAAACCCAGTAACACTCAAAGAAAGAGGCTTGATGGTGGCCATTCTACTTAAGACCCGCCAAGAAAATTTCAGTGACATGCAGTGAGTCCCAGCTCACTGACCGAGGATCCCAGACTGTCACTGATGTTTGTGTGGGATGTATATCCCCTGTTATGAACAAAGAATAAATCTGAAATAAGTATCCAGATAGAATTTTAAATGAAACTGTAGCATGTATCTCTGGAAGAAGCACTGGTTGGGAATAGAGAATAAGGAATAAGTGAGAGGAAGTTGATTTAAAAAGGAAAAAAAATGGTAAATGGAAACAATGACTTTTATATGATCTGAGATTTTGCCAGCCCTTTATGGCCTTGATGCTTAAAGTGGGTCCAAGGGCCTGCATCAATGTCACCCTGGAGTTTTAGATATGCAGAGTCTCAGCCTATTGCCCACCCCGACCTACTAAATCAGACTTTGCATTTTAATAAGATTCCCAGGTGATTTGCGTGCATACCAAAGTTTAAGAACCATTGCTCTACAGGATTTTAATTCTCTGCCCTGAGAGAGGAAATAAAAAGATGAATGCACTTGGTCCAAATTTAACCAGCTTTTCCAGCCCTGCAGATTCCCCACACCAAGAGTGACCTTAAAGCCAAAGACAAGAAAGATGAAACTCATCAGGGTTTCATTCACTTCTTAACACATTTCTATCCTTCATTTTTGAGGATGTTCAGAGCTTGAGCCCCTGAGACAGGACTAACTCTGAAGGAAGGAGAAAAAAAGTGATTTGATAATTAAAGCTCATGTTATATCACATCCTGTGTCTACTCCTCTTGGAGTATTTACACAAATGGAACATTATTAAAATAATCAAGTCAAACTTTGAGAGCAAATACTGGGTAGGTATCATAAAAGCACATATTAGGCCAAGCACAGTGGCTCATACATGTAATCCCAGCACTTTGGGAGGCCAAGGTGAGAGAATCACTTATAGCCTATGAGGTGTAGAGAGGTGTGGTGGGGTGTGTGTGTGTGTATGTGTATGTGTGTGTGTGGTCATAAAGAAGAAGACTGTTACTGCATTATTAACAAGTATGTGGGTCTAGTGTCTCAATTCCTTTGCCCACCACTCATACCTATAAATGTCTTAAGTCAACCTAGCAGTTTCTATTCCCTTTTACATGGCAGGCCAAGTTACTCTGTTGAATAAGGGCCAAAATCACTACAGAGACAGCAATTCCCACTGTCTCCTTCAGATGAGGCTATAGATTCTAGCTAAGCAAGTTCAAATTAGCCAGCTGGAAGACAGGCAATGGCCTGTGTAATCTCCTGAGATACAAGCAGGACACCCGTCAGGAAAGGGGAAGGAACACTGCCTGACCAAATGTGCGTCTCCACAGTTCCAGCTGGCAGATTCCACCAGTAACCGGGATCCTCCAAGATGAAGAAAGAAGCATTTATAAACTTTATTTGTTCCTCCACTGAAGTGGAAATTTTGCTCCTGGTGTCTACATTTGTGATGTTTTCCCAGGAAGAATTTAAATGCAAACAGTATTTTCTCATTAGTTCTATTTTGTTTTTTCCATATTTTAACTGGAACTATTAGACCTATAAGTGAGTTCCTTTTCTGTTTCCTCTAATGTTCTTTGGCCTTCTGTAGGATATAGGGTCCTCTCCACATCCTAACTGTTACCATTTCTACCCCTGCAGGATTTCTCACTCATACTTCTTAATTGTATTCAAATTTCTGACACCTTCTGATGCCCAAGCAATCAGACACAATATCCTGAATTGCTACTGAGTTTAGGACAAGGGAAAGCCAAATAATTCATGTTTAAAACTGTAGTTTATTTTAATTATTTATATTTATTATTTTTAGTTACTTAAATTTCTCATTTAAGATGGATGCTGAATGATTTGATCTGGTAGGAGGGTTATGCAGCTTCCAGGCTAAGATCATCTGCAGTCCCACAGTAGTTGTTCTCCTCTGGTTGAATTGCTTCATAGTTTCTTTAGAAACAATACTGGTAAAATGAAAATTCTATTAATGTCAAACCACACTTTCCTCCTTTTTGTATTTCAGTGCAATTCACAGCCCCTATTCGTAAGTATCAAGTTTGTTTTTCCACTCTGGTCCCTTTGATATCTGACCTACAAGGTCTTGGGGCCTGATCTGCCCTGCATTTTTAAAAATAATTTCAACTTTTATTTTAGATTCCGGTGGTGCATATGCAGGTTTGCTAATGGGTATATTGTGTGATGCTGAGGTTTAGCGGTGACTTGCTTTTTTAACACTGTCTTTCTCAACTCCCCTGGCATTCCTATTACATAGTTTCCAAAGAGGCCATGCACGAAGTGTTAAGAAATCTCACAGGCTAACATTTAAAAATATAAACCAAAACAGCCCTCTTAGAAATAGTCATAATGATCCATCAGCAAGGGAAGGTACACCTTTCAAATAAACTATGTCTCTAAGGAAACTAGGGGCAAGGGGCAAGAAAATGTAAGAAGAAAAATAGAGGCATAACAGATTAATATGGAGTGAGTCTTTCCCAACCCTCTGAAGATTTTCAACCATCACTGAAAGCAGGAGGAGGCCTCCATTCCTGTAGGTCCCTTATATTGTGCAGGGAGCCTGCCTGAGGCTTGCCATACAAGCAACTCTTGATCTTCCCGTTGTTTCTATTTATGATACTCCCTAGAGCGAGTGTTGGGAAATGGAAATTTCCTTCACAGTGGTGAAGCATACTGATATCTTTTTCTTTCTCCCTCTTTCTCTCTCACAGCCGGAGCTACAGGACCTATCAGTAAGTTTGCTCTCTGATTCTCCACAGTGAGCATTTTACTTTCCTGCAGTATCTTAGGGATCGCTACCTGGTTTCCATGTTGGGATTTCAAGGGTTTGGAGTTCACATTTTCTTCAACCCTTATTTTTCTTCAACCTAGCATTTCAGTAAGTCATGATTAGCTGTGTGAATGTACACTTCACCAATAAAAACAAACTACAAAGTGGAGAATGAACCCTTGCAGATTTCCAATGGCTTCTCAGCATCACACAAGGGATTTTTAGATGAGGAGGCCCTTATATGTACTAGTTTGCCATAGCAAGAAAGTCACCATTTCTACTACTCAACTGCAGCTGAACTTGACAATAGTGATGCAGATTCCTACTAGGGAAAGTATACAAATTAAAGTATATAAATAAAAAGTATATATAAAATATATATATAGCTACTGATTTCTTTTCTCTTTTTTTTTTAGAGCTCTCTCAAAAAACCATTGGTAAGTCATCTGATTCTCAATTATAATGCCTTTTAGTACTTTACTTAGAACATCAATCTATTTTTATTTCAATTATTCATGCCCAAGGACTCAAGGATCAAGTCCTTCTGCCACCTCATAATCTCACCCAGTACTCCAGATTGGATTCATCCAGGTTCTGCAATAAAAATATATTAACTATGAAGCTGAAATGCAAAGTGAAAAATATCCTGCTAGAGATGGTCCTAAGCTGTTTCCACTTCAGCATATAATCTAGCTCTGTAGAGCCAATACTTAATAAAGACTTAGAACCCAGCACCTAAACTTCCTGCTGTGCTTTCCATGCAAATAATTTTTCCATTATTAGATTATCTTCACTTTGTAAAATAATGCAAATTTTAAGTTTCCTTTCTTTATTTTTTTTGAGATGGAGTCTCGCTCTGTCATCCGGGCTGGAGTGCAGTGGCATGATCTCCATTCACTGCAAGCTCCAACTCGTGGGTTCACGCCGTTCTCCTGTCTTAGCCTACCGAGTAGCTGGGACTACAGGCACCCACCACCACGCCCGGCTAATTTTTTTGTATTTTTAGTAGAGATGGGGTTTCACTCTGTTAGCCAGAATGGTCTCGATCTCCTGACCTCGTGATCCGCCCGCCTCAGCCTCCCAAAGTGTTGGGATTACAGGCGTGAGCCCCCGCGCCTGGCCTTCCTTTCCTTTCTAATTGCCCTGAAAAGTTCTCTCCAGAAGAGTTAGGCTCTATTTTCAGCAACTTTTAGCAACCTAGTCACATTCTTTGAGTGATCCCTATAATGTCTTACTACTGTTTTTTTAACCCTCGCGTACATTACTTTGTTGCATCTAAACAACATTCAAATGGCAATGAGTAAGGCAGTTATTATCCCCATATTTAGAGATGAGGAAACTGAGGGTCAGGAGTCATTTCTCAAAAAAATAAGAGGATGGGTTAGTTAATAAAATTAAGACTGAAGTTTTACTAACTCTTCATTCTTTCCACTATCATTTTTGGGTGTTATAACAGGTTATTAACAATGAATAAAATGAAGTTCTAATATTGAGATTAAAGGGTAGTAAAGGCCTAGAGGAGAAAAAGTGAGAGAATGAGTAACACAAATAATAACAGATACAGAATGAAGATGCAGTTTAGAAAGAGATAAATAGGAGAAAATTGAAAAAGAACAAAAGTAGGAAGAAAATTGGAAGCAGAAAGAGTAAGTGAATTGGCACATAAGAGAATAAAGAAGGGAAATGAGTATGTTGAGAAAGAGAATAAAAATAAAGGTACAAAAAGTCACAAATTGAAACCGGAAAGGAAGGAAGAAAATATAGAAAAACTGAAGAAACAAAATTTTGAAGTGATCACCTATCCAAGGATTTAGTAACTTATGTCAAGAGGGCAGGTATCATAAGAGTTCTACTTCAGAATCAAAGATACATATTTGTAGATACAGGCAAAGCAACTATTAAGTTAGCATAATATCTAAATGTGTAACTGGTTTACTGCTCATAGCCAAGGGTATCCAGATCTGGAAAGCCATCTTCCAGGTGTTTTACACAGGAAAAAAAAAATTCAGAGTTAAAAGTTCGAGGATTATTGATCAAAATGTGGATATTTCTCATTCTGAGTGACACTGAAGTGAAGGATTATTAACTGCAATGCCCACTGGGTGAAGATATGGTCTTTTTAGATTCAACTAACCATGCAGACTTAGAAGATTACCATAGCTCTCATCTGGGAACAGTCTACTCAGTAGGACCTAAGGCAGGAAGCACAGTTTGCCAGCAAGGGCATTAACAGCTATCCCTCTGCTGTGGGAGTAGTACTCGCCATGATCTATGCTAGGTCCACATAGCCACCTAGGACCTATTCTGTTTGGCCTTCTGTCAGTTGAATTGGGAGCTGACCTAGCTTAGAAACCCCACAGGTCCACCAGGAACTAAAATCTCCTATAAGAACCCCATACACATTACCTGCAGGGATCCCGTAAGGAATATGACCAAATACATGGGTCACTACACTCAGGGAAGCCCAAAGTTATGGCTTCTTAATACATATTTACAATTCTCCCAGTTCAGATGCAGTCTAACATCAAGGATCATTCTTATGTAAGCAGTGTTGCTAAATAACATAACAGGCTTTCGGCTGGGTGCAGTAATCCCAGCACTTTGGGAGGCTAAGACCAGGGGATCACAAGGTCAGAAGTTTGAGACCAGCCTGGCCAATATGGTGAAACCCCATCTCTACTTAAAAAAATACAAAAATTAGCTGGGTGTGGTGTCGTGCGCCTGCAGTCCCAGCTACTCAGGAGGCTAAGGCAGGAGAATCGCTTGAACCCAGGAGGCAGAGGTTGCAGTGAGCCGAGATCGTGCCACTGCATTCCAGCCTGGGCGACAGAGTAAGACTCCGTCTAAAAAAAAAACAACAACAAAAAAAACATAACAGGCTTTCGATATTTATCAGGTCACCAGGCGATCAGAGCTAGAAAATCAACTGAAGGCCAAATTCTCATTAAAAACTGAAGGTTTTGGCCAGGCATGGGCTCACACCTGTAATTTCTGCACTTTGGGAGGCTAAGGCAGGAGGATCACTTGAGACCAGGAGTTCAAGATCAGCCTGAGCAACAACAGAGCAAGACCCCATCTCTACAAAAATTTTTTTAATTAGCCAGGAATAGTGGCATGCAGCTGTAGTCCTAGCTACTCAAGAGGCTGAGGTGGGAGGATCACTTGAGCCCAGGAGGTCGCGACTGTAGTGAGCTAGGATTGCACCACTGCATTCCAGCCTGGGTGACAGAGTGAGACCTTATCTCAAAAAACAAAACAAAACAAAACAAAAAAAACCAGAAGGTTTTGTTGACTCTTTGCTCACAGACTCTAAAGCTAATCAAAGCAGCAGTCACTGCTCTATCACTCTCCAATAAGCTGGAAGCTGTGAGAAGAAGAAACTAGATTCTTACCTCCTATTCTAATGTCTACCTCTGGAACATATTAGTTGATCAGAAATAAAGATTTTAGTGAAAGAACAGTCCCTTGAGAAAGAAATATCTTCTACTCTTACTGACAGGAAGTGTTTCACCTTTCCCTACCATCAGTAATGTTAATACCTAATAACAAAGTTTTGCCTTTCCCTAGTATCCCTTAGGTTGGCAAGGATCCTATAAAAACCTTCACCTTGGGCTGAAATATTGCAGTAAATGCTAAATATCCTTTTTCCTTTTTTCTATAGTTAATATAGTTGGATTAAGTCTCCCTAATGATCTCATAACTGATATCACTTCCTCTCCCCTGCTCTACCTCTCAAAGCCTCACTTCTAGGATAAAATTAGTGAAAAATACACTCTACAAATAACTGTACTAATATGCCAATTTGAATTTCTTTTTAGTGCAAACTCCAGGACCTATTGGTAAGCTGCCTGTATATATCAACTTATCTCTACTGGCTTCTTACTATGTCTGAAGGAGACTGGCTCCAACTGTTTAAGTATCTGGGTTAAAGAAGTTGAAAATCATATTTCTTAGACTTTCATTTCCCCATATCGTAACTGTTAGGTTTTGGAGGGAAGGCGAGGGTTAAAGAAAAGACACAGAGAGAGTGGCGGCTGTACAGCAAATGTAGGCTTTACGTCCAGCATAAGACCTACAGAAGTGGGGAACCAGCCTAATGCCAGTGCCCACTGCTGCTTACAGGCTGGGGGTACTTATAGGTATAGGCGGGAGGGGTCTGGGTAGTATGGCTTGCTGGCCGGCAGGATATTGATAAGATGTTCCCATGATGAGGGGGTTCTGGCCCTTGTTCCTGCAGAATGTAGTGTTCCTTGCACTTTCTCCCAGCTGAATATGACAGGGATGTTTCTTTAGTTGGCCCTTTGTCCACCTTGTGTTCAGGTGGTTAGGCAGAATGTTTCTCACAGCCCGAACCCCCGTGGAATGTTTCACTTTTACCAAGGTCTTCAAATTGCTGGAGGCTTACAAAATGGTGCAGTTTGGATTAACACTAACCATCTCTCTGGGCAACCAATTATATTTTAGAAAATGGAAATTCCATTACCTTAAAATTCATAATAGATAGGCATTGTTCTAATAATGATTATAGTGGCTTGTCAGTAATCATTAGAATAACTTCCTAAGGCAAAGGTGTAATCGAATCTGGAAAAGAATATAAGAAATGAACAAGAACATAAAGATAGCTGAGAGTGAAACAGAGTGATCTGAGGAAAAACACTGGGGGAATATGGGGAAAGGAATACAATTAAGGATCTCATCTCCAACACCTATAATGAAAAGCAAGAATGAAGTGGTTATGCTAAAACAGGGTTAATAATCTCCTAAAAGAAGATCTGGTTCTTATGGAGAGGCTAGAGTACAGCAGCAGTGCAGTGAAAAATATTTAATCCTGAATACTGAGATTTAGTAATTCCTGAGAAAATCATTTTCACTGCTTGCCTTTGGAAAATATCACTAATAGAGGTGTTTTGGGGCCAGGCGCAGTGGTTCACACCTGTAATCCCAGCACTTTGGGAGGCCAAGGATCACCTGAGGTCAGGAGTTCGAGACCAGCCTGGCCAACACGGTGAAACCCCATCTCTACTAAAAATACAAAAAATAGCCAGGCATGGTGGCGGGCACCTGTAATCCCTGCTACTCAGGAGGCTGAGGCACGAGAATCCCTTGAACCCAGAAGGTGGAGGTTGCAGTGAGCCAAGATCACCCTACCACACTCCAGCCTGGGCGACAGAGTGAGAGACTCTGTCTCAAAAAATAGAAGTGTGTGTGTGTGTGTGTGTGTGTGTGTGTGTGTGTGTGTGTTTAATTTGTTTGTTTCTATTTTTTAGTACAATATCCTGGACCCAATGGTAAGTACCTTATCTATCCTTCTCCCTCCAGGTTCCTTGATCTTCTACAGTGTCTAGAGGGCCTGTTCCCTGTCTCAAATGCCCTAGATGTGTCTCACTGCCATAAGAGCAGTTATTTTACACATGTTTTTATGCTTCCTGATTTCAACCTACTGAGAATTCTCCAGGGCTATTTTTTTTAAAAGAAAAAGAGTAAGAAAATGTCCCCAGAAATAGTCATAATGTCTTCTATAACAATATACAAGAATTTTCTAAAGTAGCAGAGAGAGAATAATAAGGGCAGCTTTCCAGTTCTGAAGTGCTTTGTAGTTTCTAAAGGGCCTACTCAAAGATAATGGAGGAGACAATGAGGAGGAAATGAGAAAAGAAAATCAAATTTTAAGAATAAATACAAAAGGGAGAAAAGACAATAAAATTTAACAGGAAATACTATGCAGGGTCTAGTCTAACCTGAGTTCTCCAGTCTTCTCTCCAAAGGCCTTTCTCTTTCCTCATGTCCTATCCGGCTCACTATCTCCAAACATCCCCAACACACGTGCGCGCGCGCACACACACGCACGACAGAGAGGAAAAGAAAGATAGGACAGAGCACCTCATGGAACAGGATATAACAGTAATTGGGCTGTAATTTACAGGAACTGGCAGAAGCATCACATATGGAAGAGAATAAAATGAAAGTTCATATTGTGACGAGCTAGGGACAAACTAGGGCATCGAACCAACCCCAGGACACGGGAAATTCTGAATCTAGAAATTAAGGGATAGCATTAGAAAGTTTAAGTCAAGCAGGAAGAATTATCAGAGGGCAAGTCACATATATTCAAACAAACATTCCTTCATCTAGCTGAGCTCCTACCATGTATCTGATACTAAGCTGAGCACTGAGGATAAAGTCATGAATAAGGGAGAGAAAGATATGGTTGGTCACTGATGCCATGGAGTTTACAGTCCTATAAGATAACTTGGGAAAACAAACCCAAAATGTGTAGAGGGCAGGCAGCATCCCATACAGCCACACTATGACCATTAAAACTGGATATTTACTGCCCTGAATTCTGGTTCTAACTATCCTTTTTGTGAATGAATAAGAGCCATTTGTTATTGACTATTCCCCTGAATCAAGACTGCTTTTCTCAGTACTCACAGATTGCCAAGACTTATAGCCTTGGAAGTTCTCATAATTATTACAGGGGGGATAAACATAAGCCAGCTCACCTCAGAGGAACTCACTGGGGCTAAAGGAAGGGTCACATCTGGTCCACAGTTCCCTAATAGCCACCATGTGCCAGAGAATCTACATGGATACATGAATTCCCTTTCCCTTTTCTCCCCGCTTGACTCCCTCTCCCTTATGTGTAAACAATTTAAAAATATGATAGTGTATAAATGAAAAATATATTGCTATTTTATTCCTTTCTAGCTTTCCCCTAAGTTATAAGCGATTTGGAGAAAGTGCAAAATGAACTGATTAAAATTTAAATGACTTTAACAAAAATTAGTGGCTCCCAACAGCCCTAGTAAAGAAGAGTAGGAAGAAAGCTTTTCAAGTCAATAAAAATTATTGGGTAGAATATTCACTATTTGGGTAATGGGTACACTAAAAGCCCAGACTTCACCACTATGCCATATATGACATAAGAAATCTGTACTTGTACCTCTTAAATATAATTAATTAATTAAAAGGTTAGTGAACAAGAGTGACTAAAGAAAATGAGGCCAGGGCCAGGCATGGTGGCTCATGCCTGTAATCTCAGCACTTTGGGAGCCCGAGGCAGGTGGATCACGAGGTCAGGAGTTCGAGACCAGCCTGACAAACATGGTGAAACCCCGTCTCTACTAAAAATACAAAAATTTGGCCAGGCAAGGTGGCTCATGCCTGTAATCCTAGCACTTTGGGAGGCCAAGGTGGGTGGATCACTTGAGGTCAGAAGTTCAAGACCAGCCTGGCCAACATGGTGAAACTTCGTCTCTATTAAAAATACAAAAAATTGGCCAGGCATGGTAGCGCATGCCTGTAGTCCCAGCTACTTGAGAGGCTGAGGCAGGAGAATCACTTGAACTTGGGAGGTGGAGATTGCAGTGAGCCGAGATCTCACCACTGCACTCCAGCCTGGGTGACAGAGTGAGACTCTGTCTAAAAAAAAAAAATACAAAAGTTAGCTGGGCGTGGTGGTGCACGCCTGTAATCTCAGCTACTCAGGAGGCAGAGGCAGGAGAATCGCTTGAACCCGGGAGGTGGAGGTTGCAGTGAGCCGAGATCGTGTCACTGCCCTTCAGCCTGGGCGACAGAACGAGACTCTGTCTCAAAAACACACACACAAAAAAATGAGGCCGGGCGCAGTGGCTCACGCCTATAATCCCAGCACTCTGGGAGGCCCCGTGGGCCAGATCACTTAAGGTCAGTAGTTCAAGACCAGCCTGGCCAACATGATGAAACCGCGCCTCTATTAAAAATACAAAAATTAGGCCCGGCGCACTGGTGGCTCACGCCTGTAATCCAGCACTTTGGGAGGCCAAGGCGGGCAGATCACGAAGTCAGGAGATGGAGACCATCCTGGCTAACACAGTGAAACCCTGTCTCTACTAAAAATACAAAAAAATAATAATAATAATAAGTCGGGCATGGTGGCGGGTGCCTGTAGTTCCAGGTACTCGGGAGGCTGAGGCAGGAGAATGGCATGAACCCAGGAGCCAGAGCTTGCAGTAAGCCGAGATCACGCCACCGCACTCCAGCCTGGGTGACAGAGCAAGACTCCGTCTCAAAAAAAAAAAACCTACAAAAATGAGCCAGACTTGGTGGCAGGTACCTGTAATCGCTTGAACCTGGGAGGCAGAGGTTGCAGTGAGCTGAGGTCATGCCACTGCACTCCAGCCTGGGCAACAGAGCAAGACTCTGTCTCAAAAAGAAAAAAAAAAAAAAGAAAGAAAGAAAATAAAAGAAAAAGAAAATGAGACTGACAAAAGTACATATAAGTTTAAGACATTATGAACCTCTAGAAGTGTTTCAAGCATTTACTGTTCCTAAATGAAATGAGAAGGAAGAACAAAGCCTCACTTTACCACTTTATAGCCAATCTCCTGCCTCAGACCAGCAGAAACAGGTCTGAGGCTACAAAGCACAAAGTAAGGCACGTAAGGCCGGACATGCACTGAGCTGTCAGATTTTAGGGCCCCCCATATCCTCTCTGCAGTTACCCTCTTTAAGCCTATCAAGGGAGAACTGAATTCACTTGGTTCTACACATGTTGATTTCTCCATTTTGTGTTCCTTCCGTTTTTTACCACCAGATGAAACTTCAGAAATGACTGGTTAAGTTCCATGTCTATTGTATGATAGCTGCCTTTGGCTTCCTATAGGGCCTGGCATACTTTTCCTCTTTGCTCATTTCTGTCTTGTGTGTGTAGAAACTCACATTTCTTCATTTCTTTTGCTTATTCCTCTATTTAGCTGCTGCTCCACTCCTATAAGGAATGAATAAAGGAGAATACCAAACCCAAAATAGAGAGATAAAGTTCGGAAACTACCCGAAGTTTATAGTGACTTGTCAACAAGGGAAGGGAAGGATATTTGTATGAATAAATGAAAGCTTTCACAGGATGGCAGAAATAGGGAGAAGAAAGGTAAAGGCAGCACAGTTTAAAGAAATTACCAATCCCCCGCAGGATTTCCAGCAGTAACCACTCACTGCAAAAAGGGAAGAGATCAATCATCTCCCTTTCCTGCAGCCTCCTATACTAAGCAGAAGGCAGAATCCCCACAAGGCATGATGGCAGGTATATTCCCCAGCACAGCGCTCTATGCCCTTGCCCTAAGAAGGATGTTTCTTCCATTGCCATTTCTGATATTTCCTTTCAGGAAAGTAGTACGAAAACTAGCTCCTCTTTCAGCAGGCTGTACACGTTGATTTATCTTTGTTTTTCAGCTACAGGATCCTCTTGTAAGTTTGACCATTTCCCTTCATGAGTGAAACTCAATTATCTCCAGCAGTGTCTAACATATCTTAAGCCAAAATGTATGCATCCACATTGTGATATGATAATGTTCCAATTTCCTTGGTCCCTTATTTTTCCATTACTCAGAACACAAATATATATTTTTTTCAGTGTCACGATCAGACTATTACATTTAGCAATAAACAGCATGGGTGCAAAAAAAAATCTACATTAAAACCCTTTGTTGGAATGCTTTACACTTTCCACAGAACAGAAACTAAAATAACCTGTTATACAATTAGTCACAAATACAGTCCTCGAGTTTTTTGCCCATACACATGAGTATTTGTCTAAAACATGTCTTCTTTGTACCAGCTAGGCCCTGCCACCACTGTGCTTGGCTGAGTTCACAAATCTGTTGTAACCTGTAGCTTCCCTGTCACTTCTCTGGCTCTCCTCTCCTGCTAAGCTTTGTTTCCTAATTAAAATCTTCTGCCACTGCCATAGCTACTGCTGCTACTGGAACCACAATAGCCACTTTGGTTTCATGGTTTGGCAAAGTATTGGCCTCCACCACCATAGAGGCCACAGCTTCTGCCTCCAAAGTTTCCTCCCTTCATGGGTCCAAAATTTGAAGACTGATTGTTGTAATTGCCAAAATCATTGTAGCTTCCACCACCTCCAAAATTGCTCCCATCATTACCAAATCCATTATAGCCATCCTCACTGCCACCATATCCACCACCACCACAGCTGCCACCAAAGCTACCACAACCACTGAAGTTTCCTCCATGATCAAAGTTGTCATTCCCACCGAAACCACCTCCATGACCACCACCAAAGTTTCCAGAACCACTTCGACCTCTTCGGCTGGATGGAGCACTAGCCATCTCTTGCTTTGACAGGCTTTCCTAACTTCACAGTTGTGGCCATTCACACTGTGGTATTTCTGAATGACAGTCTTATCCACGGAGTCATGGTCATCAAAGGTTACAAAGGCAAAGCCCCTTTTCTTGCAACTGCCTCGGTCAGTCATGTTTTCAATCACTTCAATTTTTCCATACTACTCAAAATAATTTCTTAGGTGATTTCTTCAGTGTCTTCTTTAATGCCACCAGCATATATCTTTTTCACAGTTAAGTGGGCACCTGGTATTTGAGAATCTTCTCTTGAGACAGCTCTCTTTGGTTCCACAGCTCTTCCATCCACCTTGTGTGGCCTTGCATTCACGGCTGCATCCACCTCCTCCACAGTGGCATATGTGAAAAATCCAAAGCCCCTGGAGCGCTTGGGTTTGGATCTCTCATGACCACACTGTCCGGGAGTGTCCCTCACTGCTCAAAATGGCTCCTCAGGCTCTCATCAGTTGTTTCAAAGCTCAACCCTCCAATGAAGAGCTTCCTCAGTTGTTCTGGCTCTTTAGGAGACTCTGACTTAGATAAGACGGCCAGGAGAAGAGAGACTTTAATGATGCTTCTTCCGTGGCATCCATGGGCAGAAAGGCATAAATAAATTATTAATAAGTTTCTAGAACATTCACTGACTCGCATAAAAAATAAAGACCTGAGAAAAAAGTTTTTACATGACTCTAAAGAATGTTAGGAACTTTCCATGCAGAAGGAAAAAAAATGACAGAAAAATGATATAGATCCATTTCTGCTTTCTAGATAAGTCATCTATACAGGCAATTAGTCAGTTATTTATTTGTTTCTCTGTGGTGCATTTATCAAAGTCCACTGATGTCTATTGGAACTTGAGTTGCAACATGGAACTTGAAGTTCTATTTTCTCAGCCTTTTGTTTTTCCATTATCCAGAATTCAACCAGCTGATAATTAGTTTTCTGGAAATTTCTAGTGCCTTTGATTTAAAAAAAAATGTTCAAGCAAGTATATCACTAGTAAATTTACCAATAGAAAAAAAAATGAGTAGGAAAAGAAACAAGAAAGGGGTAACAAAAAGTATCTTTGCTTGTTTTTCAGTCAGATCGCATCCTCACACAATCAGTAAGTCTATGTGTTCATTGAATTCTCTCCTTTAGGACTCAGTTGGTCTCTAGTGGAGTCCAAGAGTCTTTATCTGCCCATATTGGGATACAAAGGGCTTGAGATATATCTTGGCCTCTTGCTGTCTCATTATCAAAACCTCTCTGCATTATTCATGATGTACTGGAAAGTTTTAAGACTATCAATTTACAATCCCCTGCAGGATTTCAAGCAGTTACCAGTCACTGCAAAAAGGGAAGAGATAAGTCAGAGCAGAGAAAAAAATTTTACAAAATTTCAAAGCCCATCAACAAGAGACTACCTTAAAAAGGGAAAAAATGGTAGGAGAGAAAGGAGTAGATAAGAAGTTTCTATAACCCTTTTTCATTTGAACCTCCTGCCATATCTGGTCTCTTTTTTCCACATTTAAATTCCAAAACATCTAAGAAAAATTTGTATCACCTTTTAGAGACTTTAGAGGATTTAAGCCTAAACTTTAAATAACAACTTTAAGTTGTTATTTCCTCCGTGTTTTGCTTTCATGTGACACATCATTCTCTCACCTTTTAAATAACTCTATGGAAAAAATCAAACTTACTATTTTATTAAAAAATAAAGGGAAGGGGAGAAAGTTTATCAGCAGGTCAAAATGATATATTACAAGGGACTTAACAAACTGAAAGACAATTTGAGCAATGGGGAAAGAAAAAGGAGATAATTGTTTCTGGTCTAGTTGCAAGCTGGATTCATTTCACTTGCCATCAGTATGTCCATGTTTTCACCACCGTAGGATTCTGGAATCTCTCCTTTCCCTGGTACAGCTAAGATTTCCAGGCTTGGGGTGCATACTACTTTAACCACTTACTTTCCTATCATCAAAATTCCATGAAGTTATTAATGATTTTTTGAAAGTTCACATTCTGCTGATTCATATTAAAAATAAATGAATACCAAAGGGAAAGTTTTCCCTATTGTTATAATGACCTACCAAGAAGAAACTCTCTACATAGAAAGGAAAATATCATGGGAGAAAAAACAGTTGCTAAGATACCTCTCTGTTTTTCAGCTGGTCCACCTTCAGCACCCCGCGGTAAGTTCCATTTCTTTTTCTACTCTTTTCTGTTGTTGTTCTTGTTGTTCCCTGCAAGGCTTAGAGACCTGTCTCTACCCTGCTCATTTCTAACTGTGTGCAGCTACCTGACTCAAAGCTTCCAGTTTCCTCTGCCTTCTGCTCATCCAGCTTCTCCCTGAGAAAGAAGTTATATTTACATAATTTCAAACATATATTTACTTTGTATCTCCTCTAGAACTATTTAAGTGCTTTAATTACATTACCTCATTTAATCCTTAGAATAATTCCACCAATCCCTTTGTAAGAGATAAGAAACTGAGCCAAATACTTACTCAAGAATACATAGTCATAGAATCATAATTTAGACCCAGAAAGGTGTCCAAGTTTCTCCCCTACACAAATATACCTCCCTAGAGGGAACCTTGTTTCCTTCAAAGAAATCTTCACCAATATCTAATTTGGTTTTTAGGTCCACCCATGGCACCCATAAGTAAGTATAACATCTCTTTTTCTTCTTTGGTTCTCTATGGTCCCCTTCATTTCACTTCTGTCAAAGTGATTTGAGTTTCCCATTCTTCTCTTGCTTCCTTATTACCCTGCTTGCCCTATAATTTTTTTAAAATACTAATTAAAAGCGGGACTAAGCTAGCATTCATCAACAATAAACTGAACAATACTATGAAATATTATTTCATAGTAGGAGGAATTTTCAGGGGGGTGGAGAGAGAAAGAGAGAGAGAGATGAAATCCAAAATGATGTCTAAATGGAGAGAAACCTTCAGTGTTCTTTCAAACATTATAGTGCAAGGATCCAGTGGTCTTTTCCCAACACTATGCCCAAAGCTGTTCAGGTCCAATAAGTGGAGAGGGCCTTTAAGGAAACTCTACCTTTGACTTCGTCATTACATCATCACTGCTAAATCTTACATCTAGTTTTGCATTATAAAACTAATCTAAAACCAAATAATCTATAGGGTGGTTTGGAATACCTCCTTCACTGCCCACCCAAGTCCTCCCCTCACAGACTCCAGCAAAATATATTAGATAATACTATGTGTTTTCTATTTGAGAAAAATTAAATGGATTTCTGTTTGCTTATTTTTCAGTAATTTCACAGAGAACCGCAAGTAAGTACTCTACTTCTCAGCTGGTCATATGTGGGGACTTTTCTTATCTTAGTTGTTTCTATTTCTAAGTGCCTCATATTTCTCATATTCATTTGCTTCTACATTACCCAAAGTCTTCAAGATTAGGACTGCAAGTCAACCTTTTTGATTCGTAACTGTAGTATTTCCCATTATTTTAGTTCTAAACTCAGCTTCCAAGGTAACACATACCAACAGTGACTCAATATTTAAACCAGGTCAAGCACTAACAATGATGATATTTAATATAGAATTCGTGAAACCGCCTTTCACACTATGTCCTACCTTTCCAAAATGCAAATTTGGTTCTCATATCTCAGTTACAAATGATTTAAGCAAACCTAACATCGCTGGGATTCCTCAGCCTGAAATTAAATCACACTAATATTAAAAACCAAAGTTCCTGTCAAGGTTAAAAATGCAGATGCCAAAAGAGCCCAGGCAGGTCAGTAAATGAGTGAGATGAGGTGAATCTCCTGGAAACTGTGTAAAACTGGGAGGACACATATAGTCTGAAGAGGGTAGCTGCTGCCTGCTCCAGCCAACCTCTTCATGCAAGAATTCAGATTCAGAGTTGCCAAAGCATCTCACTTAATCCAGATAGTAGGTAAAATTTTCCAAGTTTTAAACATGACAGACATCTGGGTTACTCTAACAGATTGCAAACATACTTACATACTCCCCTCTAGTTCCATCTAAACACACTCTGGATACAGTTTTCATAATAACATTTTACTCATTTCAATAATGTTAGGACAAAGGCATTGGTATTTGAGAGAGGAGAATTGGAGCTATTAACACAGAATTAGCCAGTGTCTCTCCAAAGTCCTCATCCACACATCTTTCTGAAGCCTGAGCAAAGAGGCTGATCGGCTAAGTATTCTCACGGCACAGATAAAAATACAGAGACAATGGTTCCGACCCAGGGATGAGGCTGCAAAATCCATATGCCCATGTTTGGGAATAGGCCCTATAATTGGGCACAGGGACCAATGCCCACCTGAAGTCAGGAGAAGGGATTACTGGTCTCACAGCTAGAAATTACAAGCCAAAATCCAAATTGAAGGCATAGTGTCCTTTTCAGAGAAGTCATCAGAGAGTATGGGCAGGAAAAAGATGTAAAAATCCAAGACCCAATAGATATATAGGGTCTTGGATCCTATATATCATCCTAGTAGAGGGGATGAAAAAAAGCACGCAAAAGTAACTAGGGATTATACCACCTGCTTTTTGGATAGCTAAGTGTTGGCTGGCCAATCCCATTACTGGGTATAGACTCAAAGGAATATAAACCATTCTATCATAAAGACACTTGCACAGTTATGTTAAACACAGAACTATTCACAATAGCAAATACATGGAATCAACCTAAATGCCCATCAATGGTAGACTGAATAAAGAAAATGTGATACATATACACCATGGAATACTACGCAGCCGAAAAAAGAATGAGATCATGTCCTTTGCTGGAACACGGATGGATCTAGAGGCCATTACCCCTAGCAAACTAATGCAGGAACAGAAAACCAGATACCACATGTTCTTATTTATAAACGGGAGCTAAATGATGAGAACACATGGACACACAGAGGGGAAAAATAGACACTGGGGCCTGTCAGAGGGTGGAGGGTGGGAGCGGGAGAGGATCAGGAAAAATAACTAGATTTAATATCTGGGTAGCAAAATAATCTGTACAACAAACCCCCATGACACAAGTTTACCTATATAACAACCTTGCACATGTGTCCCTGAATTTAAAATAAAAGTTTAAAAAGTGTTACCGGGCAATATCTATAAATGAAAAATATACAGCCAAGCTTAAGCATAAAAAAGGTGGGTAAGATTTCCAAGGAGCAGAAATTGAATATAGGAACACATTGCAAGAAGAAGCTAAAGTTAAGCTCTTGGTGGGAACAGTGAGGGGATGAAAAAATAGAGATGACAGCTTTGCCTCAGGAACAAAGGTAGGGTTTCAACATCTGCTCCCAAATGACAGCAAAAGCCTCAAGATACAACATGCGGAAAACTGAAATTAGGCCCCTCTGAGTAAAGCCGGTAGCAGAAAATATACTGCCTCCCCATGCACAGAAGCCAAAATATCTTCACCCATCTGCCCCAGGCATGAAAACAGAGCCACCCACACAGGTCCAGAGTTAGATCTGTCCAGGGTGCAGAGCCCTGCTGGAGGTGTGCTACCCATGCAGTGTGCATAATATTCCAAGTCAAAACAGCTGAGATCTGGTTAAGTGGCAGTGTACCCAGGAAGTTAGGACAATAGCCACCAAGAAGAGAGCCACAACCCAGGGTATTTATATCATAGAATATCCATGAAAGATAGCCCCCAAGGAATAAGAAACTACTAAAAGTTATGAAATCTATGAGAAAATCCAGCACCATGTGAGTGGTGAGTGATACCTCACAAGCCCCAACAAATTGGAGAATTCCAACCCAGAGAAATATAACTAGAGCAATCTGAAGAAGACTAAAATAAGGAACCTAACAGCACTGAACAAGTCAAACACTAAAGGAAAAAAAAGAAAAAGTCTTCAAAGATATTAATGCATTTTAAAAATATATGTATTCAACAAATATATATTGGCCTATTGTAGGCCAGGCATTATCCTAAGCACTGAAAATATAGCCATGAGCAAGACAAAGTCCTTGCACTTAAGGAGTTTATATGTTGAGATAAAACAGGCAAATAATGCCAAGTAAACATATACTAAATGTCAGGCAGATAAATTCATGCAGAAAAATAAGAAGAGTAACAGACTAAAGAAAGATGGTATAGAAGGGGGAGTGTGCTTCAGGCAAAAGGAACAAGTACAACATGCACAGGCCTGCTATGGAGGTGCAAAACAGCCAGCCAGGCTAGAAAGAAGGAGGCAGAGCAGGAGGTAGGGCCAGAGCGACAAAAGCCAGATTATGTCGGGCCCTGCAGTCCTTAATAAAAAATTGCAGATTTCATTCTAGGTGTCATGAGAGGCAACTGAAGGGCTTGAACAGGGAAATGATAGGGCCCACTTTATAATTTTAAAAGATCACTCTATTATTGTGGAGGATTAACTGGGGTGAGAGTGAGGGCTCAAGAGGGCAAGTAGGAAGACCAGTTAAGAGGCCTGAAATTAAGGTGAGTGTGGCAAGGAGAGAGTGATCAGAGTGGAAGTGGGAAGAAGGTCTTCAGATTTTATTTATTTTGGGGGCAAAGCCAACAGGGCCTGCTGTTCGACTGAATGTGATTTTAAGGGAAAAAGAAGACCCCAAGGGTTACTCCTAGATTTGGGGTCTAAGAAACTTGACGAATGAGACTATTTATTCATTTAGGTAGCGGAGAAGAGCAGATTTATAGGATGCTATTGTGAGTTCAGTTTTGCATATGTTAGGTTCTAGATGCCTGGGATATTTAGGACTAATTAATTAAATAATCTGACCTTAGCAGGCTTCAAGCATGTTTTCTGGAAAATATCTCCTCTCTGTCCCTTAATGATGCATTAGAACCCATAATTTTATCTTTTTTATCTTTGTAAATAACAGCTTTATTGAGATGATATTCACATATGACATAATTCACTCATTTAAAGTGTGGAATTTAATGCTTTTTAGTATATTCACTGGGTTGTGCAACCATCACCACAATGAATTTTAGAACATTCTCATCACCCCCCAGAAAAACTCTGTTTAGCAATCACTTCCCACTATCCCCCAACCCAAAACCCTCTCCACACCATAGCCCCAGGCAACCACTAATCTTCTTTCTGTCTCTATAGATTCAGCTGTTCTGGACATTTCATATAAATGGAATCAAACAATAGGAGGTCTTTTGTGCCTGGCTTCTTCCATTTAGCATAAGGTTCACCAGGTTCATCCACATGGTAATATGCAGCAGTACTTCAGTTCTTTTTATGGCCAAATAATATTTCATTATGTCTTTGGTTGGCTTTTTTTAGCTTTCCTTTATTTACTTGTAAGGAAATATTATGATAAGTAGTATCAACTTGCTTTCTTTATTTTTATTTAAGTTTTAAGTTCAGGGATACATGTGCAGTTTGTTATATAGGTAAACTTGTGTCATGCAGGTTTGTTGTACAGATTATTTCATCACCCAGGTATTAAGCCTAGAACCCCTTAGTTATTTTTCCTGTCTGTCTACGTCCTCTCACCCTCCACCCTTCAATAAGCCCCAGTGCCTGTTGTTTCCTTCTGTGTCCATGTGTTCTCATCATTTATCTCCCATTTGTAAGTGAGAACATGTGGTATTTGGTTCTCTCTTCCTGCATTAGTTTGCTAAGGATAACGCCCTCCAGCTCCATCCATGTTCCTGCAAAGGACATGATCTTGTTCCTTTTTATGGCTGCATGGTATTACATGGTGTATATGTACATTTTATTTATCCAGTCTATCGTTGACGGGCATTTAGGTTGATTCCATGTCATTGTTACTGTGAATAGTGCTGCAATAAACACACGTGTGTTTCTTTATGATAGAACAATTTTTATTACTTTGGGCATATAGCCAGAAATGGGATTGCTGGGTCGAATGGTAGCTCCGTTTTGGGGTCTTTGAGGAATTGCCACACTGTTTCCCACAATGGTTGAACTAATTTACGTTGCCACCAACAAGGTAAAACTGTTCCTTTTTCTCCACAGCCTCCCCAGTATCTGTTATTTTCTGACATTTTGATAATGGCCATTCTGCCTGGTGCGAGATGGTATCTCATTGTGGTTTTGACTTGCATTTCTCTAACAATCAGTGATGTTGAGCTTTTCTTCATATGTTTGTGAGCTGCATGTACGTCTTCTTTTGAAAAGTGCCTATTCCCTTTTTTTGCCAACTTTTTAATGGGATTGTTTTTGTCTTGTAAATTTGTTTAAGTTCCTTACAGGCGCTGGATATTAGACCTTTGCCAGATGCATAGTTTGCAAAAACTTTCTCCCATTCTGTAGGTTGCCTATTTACTCTGTTGACAGTTTCTTTTGCTGGGCAGAAGCTCTTTAGTTCAATTAGATCCCATCTGTCAATTTTTGCTTTTGTTACAGTTGCTTTTGTTGTCTTCATCATGAAATTTTTGCCCATTCCTATGTCCAGAATGGTATTGCCTAGGTGGTCTTCCAGGGTTTTTATAGCTTTGGGTTTTACACTTAAATCTTTAAACCATCTTGAGTTAATTTTCGTATGTGGTGTAAGGAAGGAGTCCAGCTTCAATCTTCTGCATATGGCTGGCCAGTTATCCCAGTATCGTTTATTGAATAGGAAGCCCTTTCCCCATTGCTTGTTTTTCTCAGCTTTGTTAAAGTTCAGATAGTTGTAGTCATGTGGCCTTATTTCTGGGCTCTGTATTCTGTTGCATTGATCTATGTGTCTATTTCCTACTAGTGCCATACTGTTTTGCTTACTGTAGCCTGGTAGCATACCATAATTTTCTAATCATGTTAAATTATTAAAAACACTCAGGCCAACCCCTCTTAAAACCCTCTCCTCTCCTAGTGGCCAGTCTCAGGCACACTGACTCAGAATAGGGAGGAGAAATTTTTTTGTATTTTTAGAACATCACAGTGTTCGCCAGGATGGTCTTGATCTCCTGACCTCGTGATCCGCCTGCCTCGACCTCCCAAAGTGCTGGGATTACAGGTGTGAGCCAAGGCGCCTGGCCTACCCTACTCATTTCTAACTCTGTGTGCAGCTACCTGACTCAAAGCTCCCAGTTTCCTCTGCCCTCTGCTAATCTAGCTTCTCCCTGAGAAGGAAGCTTACATTTACATGATTTCAAACACATATGTACTTTGCACCTCCTATAGAATTATATAGGTGCTTTAATTACATAATCCCATTTAATCCTTAGAATCACTCCACTAACCCCTTTGTAAGAGATAAGAAACTGACCCAAATACTTACCCAAGAATGCAGTCATAAAGAATTGGAGCTTTTAACAGAGAATTAGCCATTGTCATCCAGAGCTGTGTGACTACCAAGATTCTCCCCAACACAAATATCTCTCCCTAGAAGGAAACTTGCTCCTTTCAAACAAATCTTCACTGATATCTAATTTTTTTAGGTCAGCTGGCAGCACCTATAAGTAAGTATTACATGTCTTTTTCTACTTTGGTTCTCTTTGGTCCCCTTCACTTCACTTCTGTCAAAGTGATTTGTGGTTCCCATTATTCCCTTGCTTCCTTATTACCCTACATGGTCTATATTACAGAGAATCTTTTTAAACACTAATTAAAAGAGGGACTAAGCTAGGATTCATCAGTAATAAACTGAACAATATTATGAAATAACACGTAAGCAGAATTATTGAGAGATGAAATCCATAATGATGTTTAAATGGAGAGAGGCTTTCAGTGTTCTCTCAAACATTATAATGCTATTCAAAGGAAACAGAAAGATATGGCAGTCTCTACCCGAGACTATACCCAAAGCTGTTGGGTCCAGTAAATGAAGAGGGCCTTTAAGGAAACCCTACCTTTGATTTCATCACATCATCACTGCCTAATCTTATATCTAGTTTTGCATTGTAAAACTAATCTAAAACTAATCTATAGGGTGGTTTGGAATGCTTCCTTCTTTGCCCACACAAGTCCTCCCCTCACAGACTCCAACAAAATATGTTAGATAATGCTATGTTTTCTCCATTTGAGAAAAATTAAATGGATTTCTTTTTGCTTATTTTTTAGTAATTTCGCAGAGAACTGCAAGTAAGTTCTTTATTTCTCAGCTGGTCATATGTGGAGATTTATGTTAGATGTTTCCACTTCTAAGTATCCAAAAGATTGAGACTCATATTTCTCATATTCATTTGCTTCTACATTACCCAAAGTCCTCCAGATTAGGACTGCAAGACAAACTTTTTGATTCATAACTGTAATATTTCCCATTATTTAGGTTTTTTTGTTTTGTTTTGTTTTGAGACAGAGTCTCACTCTGTCACACAGGCTGGAGTGCAGTGGCGTGATCTAGGCTCACTGCAACCTCCACCTGCCGAGTCCAAGCAATTCTCCTGCCTGAGCCTCCCAAGTGGCTAGCAATACAGGTGCAAGCCACCATGCCCAGCTAATTATTGTATTTTTAGTAGAGACAGGGTTTCCTCATTTGGCCAGGCTGTTCTTGAACTCCTGACCTCAAGTGATCCGCCCGCGTTGGCCTCCCAAAGTGCTGGGTTTACAGGTGTGAACCACCACGCCCAGCCCCATTATTTTAGTTCTAAACCCAACTTCCAAGGTAACACATACCAACAGTGACTCAATTTTTAAACCAGATCAAGCGTTGACCATGATGATATTTAATATAGAATTCGTGAAAGCACCTTTCACACTGTGTCCTAGTTTTCCAAAATGCAAATCTGGTTCTCATATCTCAGTTACAAATGATTTAAGCAAACCCAATATCAGCCGAGATTCCTCATCCTGAAATTAAATCACATTAATATTAAAACCCAAAGTTCCTGTCAAGGTTAAAAACGCAGATGCCAAAAGAGCCCAGGCAGGTCAGTAAATGAGCGAGTTGAGGTGAGTCTCCTGGGAACTGTGTTAAACTGGGAGGACACGCATAGTCTGAAGAAGGTAGCTGCTGCCCAGCTCCAGCCAACCTCTTCATGCAAGAAGCATCTCACTTAATCCAGATAGTAGGTAAAATTTTCCAATTTTTAAACATGAAAGACATCTATGTTATTCTAACAGATTTCAAATATGCTTATATATCCTCCTCCAGTTCCTTCTAAACACACTCTGGATATAGTTTTCATAATAACAACATTTTATTAATTTCAATAATGTTAGGACAAAGACATTGGTATTTGAGTGAAGAGAAATGGAACTGTCAACAAAGAATTATAAGTGAGTGTCTCTCCAAAATCCCTATCCACATACCTTTCTGAAGCCTGAGCAAAGAGGCTGATCAGCTAAGTATTCTCACTGCACAGATGAAAATACATACTCAGTGGTTGAGACCCAGAAATGAAGCTGGAAATTCCAGATGTCTATGTTTGCACATGGGCCATATAATTGGGAACAGAGACCAAGGCCCACCAAAGTTCAGGAGAAGGGATTATTGGTCTCACAGCTAGAAATTACAAGGCAGAACCCAAATTGAATGCATAGTGTCCTTTTCAGAGGAGTCATCAAAGAGGATGGGCAGGGAAATAATGTAAAAATCCAATACCCGAGGGGTAGGGAGAAAGAAAAAAGGAATGCTAAAGTAACTAGGGTTTATAACACCTCATTTTTGGCTGGCTAAGTCTTGGCTGGAAATATTTTTAAATGAAAAATGCACAGTCATACCTAAGCATAAAGAAGGAGGGTAAGAGTGATTTCCAAGGAGCAGAAATGGAATATAGGAACACATATAAAGAAAGGAAAGCTAAAGTTAAGCTCTTGGGAGGAATGGTGAGGGGATGAGGAAACAGAGGTAGCAGCTTTGCCTCAGGAACAAAGGTAGGGTTTCAACACCTGATCCTAGATGGTGGACAAAGCCTCAAGATACAACATGTAGAAAACTGGAATTCCACCACTTGGAGTAAAGCCAGGAGCAGAAAACACGCTGCCTCCCCACGCGGAGAAGCCAAAATATCTTCACCCATCTGCCCCAGGCATGAAAACAAAGCCATCCACACAGGTCCAGAGTTAGATCTGTCCAGGGTGCAGAGCCCTGCTGGAGGTGTGCTACCCATGCAGTGTGCATAATATTCCAAGTTAAAACAGCTGAGATCTGGTTCAGTGGCAGTGTACCCAGGAAGTTAGGACAATAGCCACCAAGAAGGGATCCACAACCCAGGGTATTTATATCATAGAATATCCATGAAAGATAGCCCCCAAGGAATAAGAAACTACTAAAAGTTATGAAATCTATGAGAAAATCCAGCACCATATGAGTGATACCTCACAAGTCCCAACAAATTGGAGAATTCCAACCCAGAGAAATATAACTAGAGCAATCTGAAGAAGACTAAAATAAGAAACCTAACAGCATTGAACAAGTCAAACACTAAAGGAAAAAAAAGAAAAAGTCTTCAAAGATATTAATGCATTTTAAAAATATATGTATTCAACAAATATATATTGGCCTATTGTAGGCCAGGCATTATCCTAAGCACTGGAAATATAGCCATGAGCAAGACAAAGTCCTTGCACTTAAGGAGTTTATATGTTGAGATAAAACAGGCAAATAATGCCAAGTAAACATACAGTAAATGTCAGGCAGATAAATTCATGTAGAAAAATAAGAAGAGTAACAGACTAAAGAAAGATGGTATAGAAGGGGGAGTGTGCTTCAGGCAAAAGGAACAAGTACAACATGCACAGGCCTGCTATGGAGGTGCAAAACAGCCAGCCAGGCTAGAAAGAAGGAGGCAGAGCAGGAGGTAGGGCCAGAGCGACAAAAGCCAGATTATGTCGGGCCCTGCAGTCCTTAATAAAAAATTGCAGATTTCATTCTAGGCATCATGAGAAGTAACTGAAGGGCTTGAACAGGGAAATGATAGGGTCTACTTTATAATTTTAAAAGATCACTCTATTATTGTGGAGGATTAACTGGAGTGAGAGTGAGGGCTCAAGAGGGCAAGTAGGAAGACCAGTTAAGAGGCCTGAAACTAAAGGTGAGTGTGGCAATGAGAAGAGTGATCAGAGTGGAAGTGGGAAGAAGGTCTTCAGATTTTATTTATTTTGGGGGCAAAGCCAACAGGGCCTGCTGTTCGACTGAATGTGATTTTAAGGGAAAAAGAAGACACCAAGGGTTACTCCTAGATTTGGGGTCTAAGAAACTTGACGAATGAAACTATTTATTGATTTAGGTAGTGGAGAAGAGCAGATTTATAGGATGCTATTGTGAGTTCAGTTTTGTGTATGCTTGGTTCTAGATGCCTGGAACATTTAGGACTAATTAATTAAATAATCTGACCTTAGCAAGCTTCAAGCATGTTCTCTGCCATGTGTCTCCTTCCTATCATTTAATGATGTCTTAGAACCCATAATTTTCTAGTTATGCTAAATTATTTAAAATGCTTAAGCCATCCCCTTTAAAACCCTCTCCTCTCCTAATGGCCCGTCTCAGGCACACTGACTCAGAATGGGGAGGAGAAATACAATGTGCTTCCCCTTCCTGTCCACTCTCCTTGTTGCTATAATTCCCACCGTTGTTATAATTCCCACTGTTGAGGCTGAGAGGATGGATTTGGGGCATGCAATCTCCTTCCTCTGTTAGTTGTAGGTTCTTTTCTCTGAGAACCTGAGACTGACTGTCCTTTGATGTCATCTAGAGCAGACACCCAAATGTCTTGTACAATACATATTCCAGTTCTTTGGAGGAACATACAAGAACTCGACCATGCCTAGTCCCTGATGTGGGAGTACTGACTCTAGTCTTGCCAATTCCAGAGCCCCTCAACTCCCTCTCGAGCAATACACTTCATTGCTCGTACTGCAGAGATGCCCTTACCAAGTAGGCCACCCACTTGAGTGACATACTAGCAAGAAGGCTCAAGCCAGGATGTATTTTGCACTGCCCACTGAACCCTCAGGAGGCTCAAGAATCCTTATCACAGAACAAGGACACTCTGCACTACTGTCTCTCTCCAATTTTATTTTCCTTCATTCAGATAGGCACAAAACAAATCAACAAATCCACTATTCAACCAGGAGATGGGTTGCCACACATCCTTTCTCACAGATACCCCCAATCACTGTAAGCAAATCTCAAAGTGCTACTCATTTGCCTTCAGAAAAAGAAAGCGCTATTCTTCCTCCCCTACAACACCATTCCTTTGTTAACTACTCACAACTCTAAAGACTCTTAAATCTCCTGCCCTTTACAGTTGTTTGCTTATGTTGTCTTGGAAAAAGGGTGACACTTGAGATAGGAGAGCTAATTTGGCC